>NC_000012.12:46551037-46702552 GCF_000001405.40 Homo sapiens
AGCTTTGGTATCCTTTTAATTCCTACATCATCCCTATCCCCTTTTCAGCTGAGTAAAGCTGAGTCTTTTGCTCTAACCTCAGTACCTTAACTCTAAAAAGAAACCAACCAACCAACCAAACAAACAAACAAACACTTGGACAAACAGCTTCGCCTTCATCAAAAGGAGTGTGTCAGGCTGGGCGTGGTGGCTCACGCCTGTAATCCCAGCACTTTGGGATCAAAAAGAATCTCACTACTGTTAAAAAAGTCAAAAGGCATTCTTCAGACTAAATTGGTGTCTCTTTTGCTTTGTTGCTTTTTCTTCCTTTCTTGAAATCTTCTGGAATGATTGAAACCTAGGAAGCAGCATGATTTGAGATGACAAGGGTTTAGTCATCAACACACCTTCTGTAGATGCATTTCTAGCTCCAAAATGACATGGAGATAGAGCAGGGCCAGTTCAGGTCTGATTTTTCCACATTAATTTATATCCTAAACTTTAGACTAAGGGCACCATTTCACATAGTGCTGTACCAAATTTTAGGAGAATCATTTCCTTCACAGTAGAATGTCTATCAAACCTATGTGCAATGTACTCTGCAATAATAAAGAAGCATTTTGCTAAAGCATGAGGAACTGAGCCTCTTGTTTTTGAAAAGTAGTTATGAAATCATCTCTTTTTGTTTTAAATCCAAGTAGACTAAATTTCTGATTGAAAAGAATTGAAGGTTTTGTTTTGCTTTGTTTTGAATATCACTCCCACCAGGAATTATCAAGTAGAATTTATTCTTAGAATATGAAAAGGGGTAGAGATATATTTTCAACATGCTCTCTAGATCATTGAACCAAAAAACCATAATTTTTGACATGTTTCAGCAGAACAATGGTACGAATAAGAGGCCATAGAACATGGTGGATAAGAGCACAGACTGGGTTTGCATCCAGGATCTGCTCCAGGACCTGGCTGTGTGTAATCCCTGTGTACCTCAATTTCCTCATCTGTAACATGGCGATAATTTCACTACCACTAACACTACCTATCTCAGAGGGTTATTAGAATGATTACACAAGTTAATATTTATAAAGTGCTTAGAACATTACCTTGGCGTATGTAATGGGTAAGCTGTTACTATCACCACAGATATAGGATTATTTATTTAATTGATGAATAAAAGTGGTATATATTTATGGTGTATAACATGATGTTTTGGGATATGTATACATTGTGGGAAGGCTATATTGAGCTAAATATATAATGTATATATTACCTCACCTACGTATCCTTTGTTTTCTGTGGTGGGAACACAAAATCTCTCTCAAGGGTACAATATTTTGTTATTAACTATCATCACCATGTTGTAGAATAGAGCTCTGGAACTTGTTTTTCCTGTCTAACTGAAATTTTGTATCTTTTGACTAACATCTCCTGAATCTTCCCCTCACTCCTGCCTCCAGCCCCTGGTAACCACCATTCTACTCTCTGCTTCTATGTTTGACTATTTTATATTCCAAATATAAGTGAGGTTATGCAGTATTTGTATTTCTCTTCCTGGCTAATTTCATTTAATGCTATGTCCTTCAGGTTAGATGTAGGATCTTTATATTAAAAAGACTGAAAGACGGTTTTCCTGTAAATATGTCCCATGTTCTTCTAGGAAAAGTCCTTTAGGTCTTGTCTTCCTATCTTCTGGTTTTAAATTTGTACCAACATTTCCTCTGTTTCACTAAATGAGGACTCAGTTTCATCTGGAAATCTCAATTCTAATCATTATCTAAAAGCCTCAACTTACAAATAGCATGCTATACTGGAAAAGTATTTTTCAGGAATCCCTCGATGATTAAAATGAACTGATATACAAATTAGAGAAGAAACAAAAGCATTCAATAGTGAAAATACAGTATTTTCCGGATCATAATAATTATGTGTTGTAATTCTATACGTATCAGTTTGTAATTTTCTGTTTTGTGATTATTCAATCAACCCTTGTCTTCATTTTTAGACTTTAAATTCCACAAGGATAGGGACTGTGCTTCGGTCATTATTAAATTCCAGCACCCATTCTCTGATATATAGTAGGCATTCAAACATAATTGTCAAATGAATGAATGAATACATACATGGCTTAGTAATAAAAATGATCCTTTGCAAGTCAATGTTTTTATGTAATAGTCTTTTAATAAGTTCACCTGTACTTAATAGGGTTATTCATACTCTTAATATTTCTATTAAGAAAGTAGAAGACTGACAGAGGTTAAAAGCGGCTCATTAACTTAGCAGAGAGGCAGGCTTGAGGAGGAGCCTCCAGTCTTCTGAGCCCCAGTTTGGGTTTGTTTCCGGTAAGATGACAAAGGATTTGGAGAATGAGGAAATGCCACCTTATTTCCCTTGTTAGTAGTTTTCCTTTCTTTCCCCCTGCAATAGTTTCATAACTTGCAACCTATAGATGCAGAAAGAAGAAGGGAGAGCATCTTCAAACAGTTAGTTAGGACTCTCCTTCTGGGAGGAAAGTGGATATCAAAGTACAGGATTGTTATATCCTCATGACTCAGAGCCCTGCATCCCAGGGGTGGTGACAAATCTGAAGCTCTGATGAAATTAGAACATACTGCTCACCCCCAGGCAGGTAGGTGTCTTGAGTATCAAAGGGTTAGTATCAACAGTGACAGTATTTAAAACGAATGTGCTATCTTACTGAGAAATTAACATGTAGGCAGATGTATAACTTTTAATTTAGTTATTTACTAAATAAATAATGTTTTATTTAGTGCCTGAAAATATCATACATAGAAAGATAGTTTTGACCATCTGGAAACTATTTTGGGGAAATTAAAAGTTTGGAGCTCAATTCTATCAATAATCCCCTCCTGCCTTTATTATTATTATTATTATTATTATTATTATTTCCCTGTTGCCTTGTCCTCAAATCAGATCCTAAAGCTTGTTTCCTATAAAGCAGTTCCCAACAAATTTGTAAGTCAGACTCTGTCCAATGTCCTCTGATATTTAGACATTCCTCTCTGATTTTGCTCTGAGTCACATGAACATATCACAGACATAAATGTTCTTGCTTTTTTGCTACTCTTAGAACATGTGGATATGATTTACTTCCTAAAACAGGATTCTTTGAACACCTACTTTCTACAAAATCCAACTCCCATGAAATCTGAGAGAGGTTTTCCTCTAAAGTATAAACCACAAGCATAACCAAATGAATTTTTTTTATTATACTTTAAGTTCTAGGGTACATGTGCACAACGTGCAGTTTTGTAATTTTTAAAAATCAAATTAGGCCATTAGAATAATGTTCTGTATCACTGGGATGGGAATTTAATGCTAGACAATTTAGGGTCATTATTATCATGCCAGGCACAACTGTCTTCAATTAGTTATGTCAAGGTGGGGATATAATTGTTGGACATGTTGGCTTCTTGTTTCATTCGGCTTCCATGCTGCATGAAGATTCCAGAAAACCATGATTAACTGGAATATTTGGGGAATGAAGACTTAAGTTTTATTTAATTTTTTAGTCAGCTTAAGTTTAAGCAGAAAGCACTTGGCTTTAGTTTTTGTTGAAAAACTTTCTAAAATAAGTTTATTTTCTTGCATCAAAAGGATAGCACAGTGGAAAGCTGTTTTCAATAGTTAAGAACATTACGAGTCCCTTGGGATCATTTTCTGACTCTTATAAAATGTTAACAGAGAGAGGGTTTTGAGATGAAAATGGATATGGAAACTAGTTAACAACTAGGCCCCTGGGTCAAACAGCTAGTTATCTCTGACTTTAAAAAGTGGACGATAAACTATTTATTGAGCACCTGCTATTTTACAGGGCATAGACTTTTCCCTTTAGGAGCCTCAATTCTGATGGGGAAGAGAGGGGTGTGTTTAAAAATAATTACTCTACAATGTTGTAAGTGCTTATGAAGGTATACAGCAAGTGCTATTGTAGCTCAGGGCAAGGAACTACCAATGGCCTAAAGGAGTCAAAGGCCTTCCTTTGGGAAAAATGATGGTCTGGGCCTTGACACACACATGAGTTAAATGGAGAAGAGGATGTAGGACATCCTTGATGTAATGAGTGAAACCTATGTAGGGCATGGTGTGTATGTCTTTGTGACAGGGCAAGGAGAGACTGGTAGCAGATGAGGTTGGACCAGCAGCCTGGGGACCATTTATACAGAATTCAAGCACTATTTTGCAAGTAAGGTATGACAGTGGAATAAACAATCTGACTTGTGTTTCAGAAAGATTACTCTTTTGGTGGTGGGAAAGAAGGACCGGAAGGAGGAAGCGACAATTTTGATAAATTATCCAGTTAATATTTCAAAAGAATCTTTTTACTGTTTGTTTATTGACCTAAATTATAGTTTGTATTTTTTATTTACCTTTAAGTAAGAAAACATTTCAGTTCTCTTCTCTTACTTAGGTGCTATGTTATTATCATCATTCTCAGTATTGGGAAACTGAGGCACAGTGGGCATGTGACTTCCCCGAAATTCTGAATTGAATCAACCGAGAAACTGACTCAAAACCAGTCTCGAAGTTTCTTCCAGCAACTACTAGACCACACTCCCCACTATTACGGCATATTTATGATATAATTAACTTTCAGAAAGCCATATGGCTTTCATTACAAAGACTAAAGGAATGTGCTTTTCATAACAAATGGCATATGGCCTCCAATAGCTCTTTGCTTGCATGTTTTAACAAAATGAACATGTACATGAATTAGATGCCTCAGGTCAGTTAACAAACTGAAGTTGATTTTCTTTTGCTCTCCCTAATTACAGCTGCATTTCTGACAAATATCAAGGAGTTTTTTGGCAGCCTGTAGGTGCAAAATACATAGCACCTTTTTCTCTTATGGCATTGCTCCTTTAAAGAGTCAACATTTTTCTCTTATTCACAGTGGAGTGTGCCGTTTGTGGAAATGGAGTATTTTTGATGAAGCTGCATGCTTTCAGAATGGTGGAAAATTTAATTGACTTAAATGATACAAAAGGCAAAGGAAAAAACTAAATGAAAATCATTGAGACAAAAGTTGACATTTATCTTTGGTCACTTACATGATGCAGAGGAGAGAGTACATGATAGATGCTCACATGCTGAACTAATTTAACAGCAGTTAAGCGTGAGGGCTCACTCTTAATCTCTTAGAGTTATTTAGAAGCCTTTCTATTTTAGGTAACATGCCTTAAAGTTCTGCTCCCTTAGTTCGCACTGTGCCTCATCCTATTGTTTATTTAGCAGGTTTTTTAATAGAGTCTGAGAATGAGCTTCTTGCAACTTTCACATTATCATATTACAACATTCACCACTGATTATCTGTACTCAAGGTCAATGACATTATCTCATTGGAATTCCCTGGACTCTGGATTTATAATAAGATAGTCCAAAATGCTCTTGTCTGTGATGGAAAAATACAACACAATTACTGTAAGTCAGTTGGTTCTTAAAGTGTTTGAGTTTCAAATTTGGCTACTCATCATATTGGCAAATTGCTTACTTTTCTTTTAAATGCTTGTACTTATATGACACCAATAAAATTTTCTTGATTAATGAAGTGGAAATATATCTACTATAAAAGGAAATTTAAAACATATATATTTCTGAAGTAACTAAAGAAGTAAAAATACATTTTAATTAATATTAAAGTATTTAAATCCTTCTATTCAAAAGCTCATTTCCTTAAGAACAAAGAAAACACATAATTTAGGATGATTTACTCATTAAGAATAAACCAAATGTTTTAAATAATCAATTAAACTTTTAGTCTCTTTTTTTTCCCATCTAAAATGACTCACTCAAATCCTATTCATACAAAAGGAAAGTGTTAATTTGTATCCTAATTCACCTTATATTTACTATAATGTATATTTCTTCTTTGGACAAGTCATAGCTTCTCCTTTCATAAAATAATATCTTCCATTATGTTACAATTACAAACTATGGCTCATAGGACCGGTGAATCATAGGGTTGGATGGAATAAGCCCTTCAGCAGTCATTTTCACCTCCAGGGCATCTCTAAACCATGAGTTGAACAACAAGGCGAGTGAGTAAGGTACACTTTCAGTCAGAAATACAGCTTTGGCTAGATGGAAAAAAAAAGAGTAAATCTGGGAACTCTTTTTCTCTTTAGCAAAATACGTCTTTCTTTCTTTTTGTCAAAGTGAATCTTATTTCAAACTGATATCATTAGAATAATAACCCCACGACAAAAATTGTTGTGTGAGACCATTTAGATTCACTTCATATGTGAGAATCGGATGCTAGCATCTGTAAGACATGAGATAAGCAATGTTTGAAGACAGCAGATTCTGCCCCCACCTATGTCAGCATAATTTATTACATGACTACAAAATACAACAACAGTGCATAAGTATAAAATGTGTAAAAAAATTAATGCTGCATACGTCTGTAAAAAGCCAAACAACAATTTAGAAGAGAAGGCAATTAGGGTAACACTTATGTACTAAGAAATCATTTGAAGTTGGGATACAATGTTATTTTCTTAACTGTCACAATTCACTCATGTTAAGACACTCCTATCTTGCTTTTATCCTCCATAGCATGTAAGGATAGTTACATTGGAGGGAAAACTTCGAGATGCTGAGCCAGGGTGGCTGACAGTGTGAGGAAGTCAGGAAAAAGTTTCAATCGAACCTGATCTCCTTGATCTTTATATGATGGTCTTTTCACGATTAAGCAACCATGAGCACGAAAGGAGAGACATGACTCACTCCAATAACCTTGAATAGTTGGGTTAATTTGAAATTTATATTCTTAAAAAGTTGTGATATGCAAAGACATAAACAACTGGTTTCTCCAGATTTTCAAATCCTGCTCCAAATTATTTTAACAAACACATATGTTATCATTTAAATGGGGGAAATGGCCAAGACCAACCCCAACTGGCTTCAGAGGAAGTTGGATACTGTAAACAGAAGATATGTTTTGGTCTGCTGAGCACCATTTTGGATCTGAATATGGTAAGGTAGTCTTAGTACTAATTTTTGTGGTTGGATATGCAGAGATTTCACTGGAATTGGGAAGATATATGAAAGAAGGGGTAGAGAAGGAGAAATGTTCATGGAAGGGGAGAGGAGCAGAATAGCCAGGGAGATGATGCAATACTGGGAAATCACAGAGGGTAAAGGCAGTGAGTGAAAATACAGGCGTTGGGGTGTCTGCAGGATTATTCAGCACTAGAATGTTTAATTGTCAATCAAGTGGTGTCTGTTTCTGTAATTGTAATGTATTCCAACTCCTCAAACTTTAGTAAAGTCTGTCATAAGAACCCATTTTTTGAGGGTTTTCTTTTGTTCTTGGATTGAAAATTATGGGAAAGGTTTCCTTCCATGTTGGGTGGAATAGGGTCAGCACCAACAGGAAGAGTGGTAAATGAGTAAATTAAGCAGAAGCAGGCATTTGGAGCCAAGGAAGTACCAGCTCTTCCTTCTCCAGCTTTCCTTCCCCCACAAATGTCTAGATATTTTGGAGAGGGTTTTGGTCTTTTACAACCCATGGGATGGATGTTTGAATCAAGGAGAGAGTAGATCCCAGATGATATTTATGCTATATTTATAAAGTCTGAAAATATAACAGTTCATTAAGGGAGAAAGTAAGGATGGAAAATTTTGATCTCTAGCACTCCTTTTTCTTTCATAGTGTTAACAGTGTAACACATGATATTGTTGGCATTTTCTTCTACAGACATACCAGACATTTAGCATTTATTTTTTATTTTTTTTAGTCAAGTCTGAGCTAGTCAATTATGTGTCTGGTAAACCAAAAGATATTACTGAAATCCGTGGCAACAGTTCAGGAACCATCTTGTGCACTTGCATTTATTGGAAGTATAATGGTAGGTTGCCTGTCTCTGTCGCATTCCTCATGGTACGCAGGGAAATTTGCTTGTATGTGAAAATATTTATAGGAAGCAGTTTTGTTTTGTGAGGCATGCAGACTGGTAGCTACATGTTTGAAGATACGCCCATTTTTCTGGCCCTTATCACTTATGAATAATGGCCGTGGGATAGAGTGAAAAAAGTATTAATAACTTAATGCTCAAACTTACCTTTTAAAAGGGCAAATTTCACATATATCTGAAGTGAAAATAAACCTGAAATATAATTTGTTTATGTTAAGTTAGAGTTTTTATGCACGTGCCTCCACTGTATTCTGCTACATTGGTAGTGGCAAAATATGCACATAAATGGATGAGAGAGAAATAGAGACAAAAGACAAAGGAAAGCAAAGATGTTTTAAGATATGGCATAAACAGCAGGTCTAATTTCTTTATTTGGTAAGTCTCGCATACTCTCTGTTTAACAGATGTGCCTCTCACTGCTGTAGCTTGATGTTCTGAGAGGATTCTCAAATAAAATTTATTTGATGGAGCAACACTCATATCATATATCTTGATATTTGAGAACCTTCCAGAAAAGACGAAAGTGTTCTAATAGAACAAGCTCCTTGTCTACGTATCTACATTTGGCCACAACAATGCTATTCTCATAGTTATGGGAAAGGCTGAAGGCCAAATTCGTGTCTGGTTTTGTATCTGGTCGAGTCCTTACATGCTTACATGAAGATTCAGGGAAAGGTTTAATTTTCCCAAGGCTCACAGAGGCAATTGTTTACTGGCACCAAATTATATTTCTGCTTAAAAAAAGATGACACAAACAGATACCATAGAAATCTAAAATGGCAGTCAAATATTAAGTGATTTTAATCCAAACAAATATAACCATAAAAACCTGAAGATTGTTATTAAATCTGGAAACATTATAACATTTTTTTTTGCTTTTCAAGATGAGTCTAGGACCACTTAGACCACAAAAAATCCACCTTGTTTTTGAGTTTGGAGGATATATCTCTGTGTGTGGCTTCCAAGGCTCCAAGTTTGTTCTAAAAAATCTACTCCTGTCCTGCGTCCTCCAATTCCTATTCACATAGGGCTGTGTGTGTGCATGTATGTGCTTGAACAATATTTTACACTTGCACTTAATGAAATTTACCCTCCTAAATTAGGCTTATTTTTCCAGCCTATCAGAATTCAGTAGCATTCTCATTTCTGCCTGGTTAGGATTTATTCTTCCCTGATTCTTTTCATTCACAAAATAGCAAATGTATCATATACAAATTCATTGAATCACTGATGAAAATGGAGAAGAAGGCAGGACAAAGAGAATCCTTTTATGGCACTGGTGCCCACCCTTCAGAGTGACATTGATCTGTTAACCGTCATTCTCTGGTGTGGTTGTTTAACCAGTTTAAAAATCACTTACTCCGCAAACATATTGAATGCTCCCTGAGCCAGGCTTTGTGCTGGGTGGTGGGAAAGACAAATGATACTATCCCTGACTTCAAGCAGCCCAAGGGAAGAAAGACATGAAAATGAAGAGCTGCAGTGAAGTGTGATAATGCCAGAGGTATATATTAGGCAAGGCACTTAAAAGCCAGCCTAGGATTTTCTGAAAAAATAAACTGAGGAGAGTAAGAGGTTTTCTGAGTTTGTTCAAAATATATAGAATTTATTTTTTCAGATAAATTTTAGCAACAGTTCATTACCAGGAAAATCCTATTAAAATTTTGATAATAATTGCATTATACTTTTAACTTAATTAATTCAATATCCTTATGCAGAACCATGATATGTATTTCATTACATCCCCATGTATTTTAAAAGGCAGTTTTTAGGATATTTTGTTTTTTGTTGCTTTTGAGAATAGGGATTTTTTTCTCATACTTTCTAAATATATTTTTGTGGGTTTCCAAGAAAGCCATGGGTCTTTGGCATATTTATCTTATGATTAGCTATGTTTCTGGACTCATTATTTCTAATGTTTTTCAGTTGACTCAACTGAGGTTTTTAAACCAAAAATCATTGCTTATAGATAATGATCATTTAATTTTTTCTTTTTAAACTACCTATTTGGTTGTGTATTTCATCACACTTTTGACTTTTTAGAATATTGTAAAGTAAAACCTTTGGTTTTAGTCACATACACTTGTACTTCAAGCACTCACAGTCCAGCTTCCGATGACTCTGCAGATGTGGGTTTCAGCAGCCAAGGTGTATTGCACCTGCTCATAGACCTTGGGAGTGTAACTTTCTCTGTTTTTACAAGATGTGCTCACTGCTTAATGATATCACAGATGCTGTTGCATTTTATTTCTAGATTCCAAGTTATTTTCTTGAATGTGTGAGAAATATAATTAGAAAATTAAATATTTTTGAAATTAAGAATAGAAATAAGTGGGAAAAAATGGACTGTAAAAAAAGAAAGGACTATTCTGTGAGACCAATTTATGACAGAGGTGATTTAACTTATAAATGCTTCATCACACTTTACCCCTAGGCGGGGTTGCCAAAATCATGAGCATGTTAATGTTAGCTGGTGCTTTGTGTGCTCAGAAGATATCACTAAAGAAGCCGAACACGGTGGTGCATGCCTATAGTCCCAGCTATTCAGGAGGCCAAGACGGGAGGATTGCTTGAGCCCAGGAATTCAAGACCAGCCTGGGCAATATAGCGAGACTGACCTCATAAACAAAACAAAACAAAAAACAACCAAAAAAAAAAAAAATAGATATCACTGTGAAAGGAAAATAAACCCCAGGAGCCCCAAATCACTAAGCCAAGGGAAAAGTCAAGCCTGGAACTACATCAGGCAAACATGCCTCCCATTTTATTCCTCAATAATACAGCTACAGGCTGGGTGCTGTGGCTCATGCCTCTAATCCCAGCACTTTGGGAGGCTGAGACAGGTGGATCACCTGAGGTCAGGAGTTCAAGACCAGCCTGGCCAACATGGCGAAACCCCGTCTCTACTAAAAATACAGAAATTAGCCAGGCGTGATGGCAGACGCCTGTAATCCCAGCTGCTTGGGAGGCTGAGACAGGAGAATTGCTCTGTTCTGTTGAATTTCACCCTGGCTATGGAAACCAATAGCTTATCTTCACAGGTGTGGGACAGAAAGTCATCCCTATGCTCATCTGAGACAAATGCATACCTGATTGCTTCCTCTGCCCTATTGTTTATGTAAAAATGCAGATTGACTGAGCCAGATTACATTGTGTATTCAGTGAAAGGCTGATGAAGGACTCAAAAGAATGCAACCTTTTGTCTTTTACCTACTTATGACCTGGAACCCCAACCCCCTACCAGAACCAATGACAATGTTACATATGCTGATGTCTCTTATCTCCCTAAAATATATAAAAGCAAGCTGTACCCCCACCACCTTAGGCACATGTTGCCAGGATCTCCTGAGGTTGTGTCATGGACGTGTTCTTCACCTTGGCAAAATAAACTTTCTAAATTGGTTGAAAAATAAATAAATAAATGCTTCATCAGTGATACATACGGATGTTACCAGAGTGATGTAATCTTGGTCAACAGATATTGCATGTCATTCAGTTCCTATTTTATGTTCTTTCCATCTACGTTCCTATTTCCTGGAATAGGAGTTGCTACAATGGCAGCAGCAGGCATCTTTAGTTTAGTTTTTCAGACATGAAAGGTACCTACACATATTTGTATCTTAGAAAGGTCACTCTGATAACACATTGAAGGATAGATTAGGGTAAGGCAAAACTAACAATAGCAAGACTAGTTAGGTGCTAAAGTAATACTGGAAAGAATGAAGAAGTGGGGCAGATCTGTGAGGTCTGAGGAGGTAGAGTCAGTTATTCTTGAAGAATGAGATGCAGGGCTGAGTAGATGAGAAATCAAGTATAGCTCCCCAGTTTTTTGATTTGATGATTGAGATACAGGGCAATACACCATGTGCTGCTGGAACCCACATCTGCGGTATCTTGGGAAGCTGGACTGTGGTTGTTTGAAATACAAGTGTCTGTGACTAAAGCCAAAGGTTTTACTTTACAATTTTGATGCCAATATAAGTAAAGAATAGAAGAGGAAAAGTAGGCATGGGAGAGAAGACAATGCATTCAGTTGTGCAATACTTTGAGTTTCAGATGCCTGTGTGACATCAAGTGGAAACGGTAGTTGATTCATGCATTTGGCACACAGGAAAAAACACAAATGCAACAGGCTTTCTATTCAGTCTCTTTCTTTCTCTGCGGCGCAAGGAAATAATGAGGGGCAGGAACACAGCAAGAACACAAACAGAACACAGTAAATGACTTCTGTATGCACTCAGTTGAGACTCTTCTACGGAAGTTTTATGTTTTTCTTTATTATGGTAAAATATACATAACATAAAATTGGTCATTTTAACTGTTTTTAAGTGTGCAGTTCAGAGGCATTAAGTACATTCACATTGTTGTGCAACCATCACTATCATCCCTCTCAATATTTCTTTTTTTAAAATTTAATTTTAAATTGACATATAATAATTGTACATATTTATGTGGTACATTGTGATGTTTTGATATATATATAATGTGTAGTGATCAGGTCAGGGTAATTAGCATATTCATAATTTCATTTTATTGTGTTGAGAACATTTAATATCTTCCCTCTAGCTATTTGAACCTATACATTATTGTTATCTATAGTCATCCTATAGTGGTATAGAGCACTAGAACTTATTCCCCCTATCTAGCTGTAATTTTATATCTTTTAACAAATCCATGCATGTCCCCACCTCTCCCTACCCTTGCCAGACTCCAGTATCCTCTGTTCTACTTTTTACTCCTAGGAGATCAAATTTTTTTAAATTATTATTTATTTATTTATTTAGCTTGTGTGAAAACATGTAGCCTTTATCCATTTATCTGTTATTGGATACCTAAGTGGATTCCATATCTTGGCTATTGTGAATAGTGTTCCAATAAACATGGAGGTACAGATTTCTCTTTAATATATAGATTTTGTTTCCTTTGGATAAATACCCAGTAGTGGGACTACTGGATCATTTGGTAGTTCTATTTGTAGTTGTCTGAGGAGACTGCATACTGTTTCCATAATGTCTGTACTGTTTACATTCACACCAACAGTGATTAAGAGTCCCTTTTCTCTACATTCTCACCAGTATTTGTTTTCTTGTCTTTTTGACAATAGCATAATAGCCATGCTAACTGGGGTACCTAATTGTGGTTTTGATTTGCATTTCCCTAATGATTAATGGTGTTGAGGATTTTTTTTCAAACACCTGTCGGCCATTGGTATGTCTTCTTCTGAAATATGTTTGTTCAAATCATTTGCCCATTTTAAAATTAGATTGTTTGGATTTTTTTGCTGTTGAGATGTTTGAGTTCCTTGTATATTCTGGGTATTAATTCCCTCATAGAAAAATAGTTTGCAAATATTTTCTCATATTCTGTCCATTGTCTTTTCACAGTGTTATTGTTTCCTTTTATGTGCAGAAGCTTTTTAGTTTGATGTAATCACATTTGTTAATTTTTGCTTTTGTTGCCTGTACTTTTGAGGTCGCAGCCATAAAATATTTGCCTAAATCAATGTTCTGGAGTGTTTCCACTGTGTGTTCTTCTAGTACATTCATAGTTTGGGGTCTTACATTTAGGTCTTTAATCCATTTTGAGTTGATTTTTGTATGAGGTAAGAGGTAGGGGTCTAGTTTCATTCTTCTGTATATGGATATCTAGTTTTCTTAGCATTGTTTATTGAAAAGACTGTCCCTTCCCCAGTGAATGTTCTTGTTGTCTTTGTCCATACCATTTGCCTATAGATACGTGGATTAGTTTCCGGGTTCTCTATTCTGTTCCACTGGTCTATGTGTCTGTTTTATACCAATACCATGCTGTTTTGGTTACTATAGCTTCATAGTATATTTTGAATTCTGGTAGTATGATGCCTGCAGCTTTCTTCTTTTTTCTATTGGCTGTTCTGGCTATTTGGAGTCTTTTTTGGCTCCATACAAATTTTAAGATTTATTTTCTATTTCTGTGAAAAATGCCATTAGTATTTTAATAGAGATTTCAATGAATCTGTAGATTGCTTTGGGTAGTATTATCATTATAAAAATATTAATTCTTCTATTATGAGCATGAAATGTCTTTCTATTTGTTTGTATCCAATTTGATTTCTTTCATCAGTGTTTTGTAGTTTTCCTTATAGTGTTCTTTCACCTCCTTGGTTAAATTTATTCCTAGGTCTTCTTTTTTCCATAGCTATTGTAAATGGGATTGCCTTCTTGATTTCTTTTTAATTAGTTTGCTCTTTGTGTATAGAAATGTTACTGATTTTTTATGTTGATTTTGTATCCTGCAACTTTAATGAATTTATCAGTTCTAAAAGTTTGTAGAGTCTTTAGTTTCTTTTCAGTATATAAGATTATGTCTGCAAACAGAGATGATTTGACTTTCTCCTTTTCAATTCAGATGCCCTTTATTTCTCTCTTGACTAGTTGCTCTGGCTAGGACTTCCAGTGCCATGTTGAATAAGAGTGCTGAAAGTAGGTATTCTTGTTTTGTTCCAGTACTTGGAGGCAAAGCTTACAGTTTTTTCCCCATTTAGTATAATGTTCACTGTCAGTTAGTCATATATAACCTTAATTATGTTGAGGTACTTTCTTTCTATCCTAAGTTATTGAGAATTCTTATTATGAAGGGATGCTGGATGTCATCAAATGCTTTTTCTGCATCTATTTTAGTAATCATATGGTTGTTGTCCTTCATTATGTTGATGTGATGTAACACATTTATTGATTTGCATATATTGAACCATTCTTGAATTCCTGGAGTAACTCCCACTTGAACATGGTGTATAATCTTTTGATATATTGGTAGATTAAATTTCTGGTATTTCATTGAGGATTTTTGTATCTATGTTCATCAGGAATATAGGTCTGTAGTTTTATTTTTTTGTTGTGTCCTTGTCTAGTTTTCAGATGAGGGTGATGCTGGCCTTGTAGATGGAGTTAGAGAGAGTTCTCTTTGCTTCATTTTTTTGGAATAGTTTGAGAAGAATTAGTATTAATTCTTCTTTAAAGTTTTGATAGAATTAGCAGTGAAGCCATCTAGTCCCAGACTTTTCTTTGCTGGGAGGCTTTTTATTACTGATTCAATCTCATTATTGGTCTTTTCAGGTTTTTTATTTCTCCTGGACTCAATCTTGGTATATTGCATGTGTCCAGGAATTTACCCATTTGTTCTGGATTTTCTAATACATTGGCATATAGTTGTTTATGGTAGTTTCTAATGATCCTTTGTATTTCTGTGGTATCAGTTGTAATATGTTTTTATTTCTAATTTTATCTATTTGGGTCTTCTCTCTTTTTTTCTTAATCTAGCTAATGGATTGTTGATTTCGTGTATCTTTTCAAAAAACCAACTTTTTGTTTCATTGATCTTTTGTGTTTTTTAATCTCAATTTCACTTATTTCTGCCATGATCTTTATAATGTTTCCTATTCTACTCATTTTGGGGTTTATTTTTTCTTTTCTAGCTCCTTGATATTCATCATTAGGTTGTTTATTGGAAGTCTTTCTCAATTTTTGATGTAGGCATTTATTGCTAAATATGTTTCTGATTAGCACTTTTGCTGTGTCCTGTAGGTTGTTGTATGTTGTGTTTCTTTTTTCAGTTGTCTCAATGAATTTTAAAATTTCATTCTTAATTCCTTTTTTCACCCAATCATCCTTCAGGAACAAGTTGTTTAATTTCCATGTGTTTAATATAAAAAATTAGCTGGGCATGGTGGTGTGTGCCTATAGTTCCAGCTACTCGTGAGGCTGAGGCAGGAGAATAGCTTGAACCTGGAAGGCAGAGGTTGCCGTGAGCCAAGATCACGCCACTCCACTCCAGCCTGGGCGACAGAGTGAGACTCTGCCTCAAAAAAAAAAAAAAAAAGTACATATATTTGTATAGTTTCAAATGTTTCTCTTGTTATTGTGTTCTGGTTTTATTCCACTGTGGTCAGATGAGATACTTGATATAATTTCAAGTTAAAAAAAATTTTTGAGACCTGTTTTGTTTTTGTTTTCGAGTCCTGAAGAATGTTCAACATGCTGATGAGGAGAATGCGTATTCTGTAGCTATTGGGTAAAATGCTCTTCATATGTCTCTTTAACCCATTTGATCTACGGTGCAGTTTAAATCATCTGATGTTTCTTGGTTAATTTTATATCCACATGACCTGTCCAAAGCTGAGAGTGGAAGAAGGTCCCCAGCTATTATTATATTGGAGTCTATCTCTCCCTTTAGAATGAGTACCATTTACTTTATATATCTGGGTGGTCCTGTGTTGGGTTCATGTATATTTACAATTATTATTTTCCCTTGTTGAATTGATCATTTTATTACTATATAATGTCTTTGTCTATTTTTATGACTTTTGATTTGAAGTCTGTTTTATCTGATATAAGTATAGCTATACTGGCTTGCTCTTGGTTTCTGGTTGCATGGAATATCTTTGTCCATCCCTTCACTTTCAGTCTATATGTATCTTTACAGAAGAAGTGAATTTCTTGTGGGTAGCATATCTTTGGGTCTTTTTTTCATTAAAAAAGTCAATTTAGCCCATCTATAGCTTTTAACTGGGAGAATTAAATCTTATACCCAAGGTTACTATTGATAGGTGAGAACTTACTCCTATCATTTTCTTGATTATTTTCTAATTGTTTTGTATAGTTTTTGTTTCTTGCTTCCAATTTCATGTTTACTTTTGTGATTGAGTGGCTTTCTGTGGTGACAAGATTTGATTTTTCTTTTGTGTATTGGCTGTATCAGTAAATTTTATTGTTTTGCTTTTTTTTATGATGTTGGTTTTCATTTTTTTCACTTTCAGATATAAGACTCCATTGAATATTTATTGTAATTCTGGTCTAATGGTAATGATTCCTTTAGTTTTTGCTTGTCTGTAAAATATTTTATTTCTCCTTTATTTTGAAATGATAGCTTTGCTGGGTATAATATTCTTGACTGACAGTTTTTTTTTTTTTTTTTTTCCTTTCAGTACTTTGAATATATCAGCCTATTCTCTCCCAGCTTGTATGGTTTCTGCTGAGAAACATGCTGCTGGTCTAATGGGGATTCCTTTATATGTGACTTGACACTTTTCTTTTGTTTTCTAGAATTTTTTTTTGTCTTTTACCTTTGAAAATTTGACTATAAGGATCTATTCAGGTTAAATCTGTTGGGGTTCTTTGAACTTCCTGGATCTGGATGTCCATTTCTCTCCCAAGACTTGGGAATTTTTTGGCTATTATTTCATTAAACATGATTTCTACACATTTTCCCTTCTCTTTTCCTTCTGGAACACTTATAATGAGAATATTTGTTTGCTTAATGGTGTCCCATAAATCCTATAGGCTTTCTTCATTCTTTTTATTTTTATTTTTGTCTGCCTGTATTATTTCAAAAGATCTATCTTCAAGTTTAGAAATTGTTTCTTCTGCTTGGTCTCTTCTGTTGTTGAAGCTATTGATTTTCAATATTTCATTTGTTGAATTCTTCAGCTCTAAGATTTTTTTTTTTTCGAGACAGAGTTTCACTCTTGTTGCCCAGGCTGGAGTGCAATGGTGCGATCTCAGCTCATCACAACCTCCACCTCCCGGGTTCAAGCAATTCTCTTGCCTCAGCCTCGTGAGTAGCTGGGATTGCAGGGATGCACCACCACACCTGGCTAATTTTGTATTTTTTAGTGGAGATGGGGTTTCTCCATGTTGGTCAGGCTGGTCTTGAACTCCCGACCTCAGGTGATCCACACACCTTGGCCTCCCAAAGTGCTGGGATTACAGGCGTGAGCCACTGTGGTTTTTAAAAAAATCATATATCTCTTTGTTAAATTTGTCATTCAAATCATGAATTATTTTCCTGATTTCATTGATTTGTCTATTTGTATTTTTTTGTATCTTACTGAGTTTCATAAGATTATTAATTTGAACTCATTTTGTGGCATTTTATATATTTACTTATGATTGTGTTCTGTTACTTAAAAATTATTATATTCCTTTGGAGGCATTATGTTTTCTTGCTTTTTTATGTTTGATGTGCTCCTACGTTGATTTTTATGCATCTGGTGGATCAGTTGCCTGTTCCAATTTTATAGAATAGATTTTATAGGGAAAGACTGATTATGAATGGGACTTGGGGTGCTGGTTCGATGGGGTGCATTGGCTTTGGTTTCAGGTGGATGTAGTAGTGTAGTCTCTGTGTAGTTCCTTCAGCCATAATTCACGCCAGTGACATTTGTGACTTTCTCAGTGGCCTAGGCTGAGATTTTGTGGTGATGGTGGTGTGGCTTTGCCATGGTGGGCTAGCTTATTTCTCAAGTCAAAGGAACATGTGTGCACATGGTGGCCAGCTTGAGTTCTGGCCACTAGGATTGGGAATGTTACTCCGGCCAGGGGCACAGGCATGTATTTGCTTCGCTGGCCTGGGGGCGTGTTTGCTGGGGTTGGTCTATAGGCTGTTTCTAAGGCCAGGGGCATATGCACACAGCTTCTTTGCTAGCCTGGGGGGTGTGCCCACCATGGGAAATCTGTGGAGCTGTTTCTCAGGCTCAGGATGTGGGCCACAGAGATGTTCAGCTGGCTTGGGGGAGCATTGCTAGGGGCTGTCTATAAGACTTTACTGAGACCCTGGTTGTTGGTGTGGGGACTTTGGGTATGCCAGGGGCATGTCTGGAAGGTGCCATGAGGCTGGTTCTCAGGCCTTGGATGTGGGTATGCAGCTTTACCACTAGCCTATGGGTATGCTGTCTGCTTGGTGACTCAGGGACCCCTCCTGATTGGGAGAAATGGCAAGCATTAGTTTGGCTGGCTCTAGGGTGGGTTTGCCCTGGGTAGGACTGCCAAACTGTTCCTCCAGCTGGAAGTGCAGATAGCAGGAGTTGCTGTGCAGGGCCAGAGTTGCAGCTGATCCTGGGCCTATGCTCTGCAAAGCTGGGTTTGTGGTGTTCAGCCACCCTTCTGAGCTTGCTGGAATAAAGATGGAGCCCCAGTGATAGAGAAGTGCACTGGCTACTTGATCCCAGAGGCGCGCACGCCTGAGAGGTGGCTCTGATCTCAAGGTGGTATGGTGATATAGCAGTTTGACTCACAGGAAGTGCGTGAAGGGTGGGGAGTGCGCATCTTACCCTCCCAATCCGGAGCAGTGCAGCTTTGTGAATTTCTGGCAGCTCTCCAAACCGGGCTCAGGGCTTGCAAGCACGGTGGGATTCTGTAGTAAGAACTGTAGGTGTCTGCGATGGCAGTGGGGCCTGGTGGGGATCTTCTGCTTACCTTTTCCCCAAAAGGGGAAGTCTCTCCTATCTACAGACTGATCAGATGGGGGTGAGGGAGATGAGGTTGCAGACTTTGCATCCACACTTTCCTCTGTGCTTCCAATTACCACAGCTGTCTCTCTACATCCCCACTGCCCTCCAGCACTCTCCTTTCAACACTCCATTCAAATCTTAGATGTTTTTTCACTGCTTTGGTCCTTTCTTGTTAGGGGAATGAGGGCCAGGTGTCTGTAGCCAGCCATCTTACTTATGTCACTCTAGAAATTTTTTTTTTTAATCTCCTATAATTGTTAGTGATGTTGAGCATCTTTTCATGTGCTTATTGGCCATTTATATATATTGTTTGGAAGAATGTCTATTCATATCCTTTATCCCATTTTTAAAATTTTTATTTGTATTTTAAGTTCTAGGGTACATGTGCAGGATGTGCGGGTTTGTTGCATAGGTAAACATGTGCCATGGTAGTTTGATGGACCTATCAACGCATCACCTAGGTACTAAGCCCAGCATACATTAGCTGTTTTTCCTAAGGCTCTTCCTCCCCCTCACCCCGCTCCTCCGACAGGCCCCAGTGTGTGTCGTTCCCCTCCCTGTGTCTATGTGTTCTCTCTGTTCAGCTCCCACTTATAAGTGAGAACATGTGGTGTTTGGTTTTCTGTTTCTGTGTTACTTTGCTGAGGATAATTATTTGTTTTTCATTGTTGAATTGTAAAGAAAAATTTTAAACCCTAAAGAGTTAAAGTCTGACCATTTACCCAATTGTGATTTTCATTATTTGTAACTAATAATTTTATTCATTTAGAAAACAGCATACGAAGCATTGAATTAAAATGTGATTAAGTAGAATGAATTTCAGGTACATTTTGCACAGATCTAATATTTCTAGCTATCTTTGCCTAGCTAGATGCTTGAGATGATTTTTCCACATAGTGAATCAGTGTGTATCCTTTTTGCCCACATTCACAACTATTTCTGTACTTGGCTAAAAGTTCTAAGAACTATGCTCAGACTCTTGTCTTGCTTACAAAAATGCTAGATAAATATATGCAAATGACAGTGTGTTTTCCACTTTCAGGATATATTTGGCATTAAACTCGGGACAAAAGAAGACACAAACTTTATCTTGTGGTTTGGGTCCTCCAATCCTCATAAAAGTGTGGTTTCACCTGTTACCTCATAAAGGTGCCATTGCTGTATGCACATCTGAATCTGTTTACAATTTGAGAATAGAGGTGAGAAAGAATGATTTTCTATTTTGTGACATTCGTATGGTCAAAATTTTTATGAAATCTCGCCATGAAATTTCCCTTTTCTGAAAATATAACATGAGAAACTTTTTTAAAAGAGTAAAAAACTATTTAATTACACTCGTGTGCTCCAAAACAAACCTGCACTCAATTGTTTGTAATTGGCTTAGCAGACTGATTTAGGGGCAGTAAATTTTAATAGATTTCGATGATATTCAGCTATTTCTACATTAACGAAGGGAACTATATTATTTAAAAACGCCCCAGAGTATAAAGTATTGTTTATAGAAGCATTCAGTAAAATGTTGCATTGTAAATGACCTAAAATTGTTTTCATATGTTACCATTTATTTATCCCCAGGCAGATTGTAAGCAACTCAAAGGAGCTGTTTTTAATCCCCTTTTATTGCATAATATCATGGTCCATGTACAGTGCTAGCTAAATAAGTGTTGCTGACTGATTGATCTGGGACTTGAAACTTTTAAATTTGCTATTCAAAAGTTGTTTTACACTTTGGGTGGAAGAAAAAGAGGCTTTAAGACTTACAATGTTTTGGTTAGACAACCAGTTTTAATACATTCTGAAGAATTCAAATGTGGGTAAGTGGACTCATGTGCTGTATATTCCAAGCATTCAGAAATGTTCTTTGGCTGTACCCTATTCAATTTCATTTACCATTCAGTTTTTTTTTATTATTATACTTTAAGTTTTAGGGTACCATTCAGTTAATGAAGTCAATATTTATCAGCCTGTGGTAGACAACTCTTTTTTTAAATCCACTTGCTTCTTATGTATGACCCTTTGAGGCTTTCCAAACAGCATCTTCAATTTTGTCTGTCATGGCACTTGTTTAGAACTAGAAAAATCTTTGGTATAAGCTTGGGAGAGGACTTCTCTCATGTCTTGCAAATTGAAGAGCCCCAGCTTTTTCTAGACCAACAAAGTGAAATATGTATTTCTAAACCTTGAGAAATACACTTTACAATACCACTTGAAATGTGGTTAACCTGAAATAAGGTATGCTATAC
This sequence comes from Homo sapiens, assembly GCF_000001405.40. NCBI lineage: Eukaryota > Metazoa > Chordata > Mammalia > Primates > Hominidae > Homo > Homo sapiens. The sequence continues at coordinate 46,572,457 of NC_000012.12, forward strand.
ATGCAAAAGACAGTGGATTTTGAGGAGTTAGTACCAAAATAATTAGAATATAAAATACTTGAATAATTTTAAAATATTGATTCCATGTTGAAATTATAATATTTTGGATATATCAGGTTAAATAAAATGTTATTAATTTAATTTCCCATTTCTTTTTTTCTATATTTCACAATAAAACAGAAATTTTAAAAAGACATATGTGGCTCACATTAAAATTTTACTGGATAGTACTGTTTTTAGAGCAGGGTCCCTCAATCTCAGCAGTATTGACATTCTGAGTCAGATAATTATCTGTCAAGGGTTGTTCTGTGCATTGTAGGATGTTTAGCAGCATCTCTGGCCTCTACTCGCTAGATGCTAGTAAATCTCATCCTCCTCAGCTGTGACAACCAAAAATATCTCTAGACAATTTCCAAATGTCCCGTGGTGCATAAAATTGTTTCTGGTTGAGAACCATCCTTGAGACTGTAAAGTAGTGCTTGTAGAGACATTCACTAGAATGTTGCTTAGACATGTCCTAAGGTCTTTTTCATGGGTTTCAGGTTGTTTTACCCAATAGATTACCTGCAGTGTATGGAGCATATGTTAAGTTCATTTTGCTGCATAATATATAGTGTTCCATGCACAGTGAAAAGTAAATAATTACTCTTTACCTCTTCCACTTTTTCATTCCCAATTTTCACCCACCCCCAACTCTTCTAGGCAGTTAGTTCACAAGGCAGAATGGGCTATCTGTCATACATAGTGTTTTAAAATTTTGGCATTTAGCAATCACTGTCAACAGTGTTGTTTTTCTGTACACAAGCAGTGCTGTGAGTCAATTAATCATACCAGACTTATTGCAGGGACAAACTCTGCAAATTAGCTGTCAGTATATTAACTGTCTGGGGAAGTGCTGAAGAACAGCCGGGACCCCTCCCCTGCAAGAGCCCAAAGACACTATAATAGAAGCACACTAATTTTAGAAGAAATGATATTTGTTTTGGCCACAGCTGTTGGCATTCCAATGGGCTCTCATTCTGTCTGTTGAAATGAGGAGGTAGGTTCTTTTAGAGGTTTGGTTCTGTCTGAGGATTTGGTGACATCATTTAGAGAATTACTAGGCTGTCAGCAAATATATTTTATGTATAGTGAATAACTATTTAAAACTGGTTTATAAGAATTAAGAATAGGAATTCTAAAAGCTAAGCAGGGGTTAGTTCTTAGAGGAAAATGCCTCGTTTATGAGAGCACTTTCCGAAATTGAAGTGGAGAGATTGCTTTTCTGGAGAATTTCCAGTGTCATTGGCCACCAATATAAATGAATATGCTGAGGGCAACAGCAGGTTTGCTGGCCCCATGGTTATATTTCCAACCTTCTCTTTTCCTCCTCAAATTTCATAACTTGCTAACAATTTATGTAGTTAGTTACAATGGTGGCACTATCTATTGAATACCACTGTTGTGATATAGAACACACTATTGTGACTTAAGAAAGCCCCTCCATCTGCTGCCACAAACTTTGTAGATTTTGCATTGCTTTTTGCAGGGGCCCTAAGGACTTCTGTCTCATATTGGACAGCAGGTCAATTTCTAGCTCACATTCTGGTTTACCTCCAGGTATGTTTAGCAGCTACTCTAACAGAGCTGTGATCATTGCCTATTTGTTTATCATCATTAAATGTATCGGTAATTGTGGTAGAACTCAGATCAATTTAGCCCATATTTAAAATAACAATTTTCCTAAGAAGCTAGATTCCTTGGCTTACTAGACCTTTCTTCCAAAATATATGTTATTTCCCTTTTTCTTAATATGCAAACTGGGTTTCTTCAATATTCATTTCCAGGGCTTTAAGTGTAGCTATTTAACTACTGATCTGTGATGTATACTTGGTCATCTTGTGTAGAAAGATGTTTAGGGGCAACTCTACCCAGAATACAATCATTTTTCACTTGGAATTTAGAAGTTTGAGAGTTTCAAACTTGGGTCACACCTAGCAGTTGCGCTTTAGATTATGATCTTAAACAATTAGTGTATCGGTTTCTGTCAAAAGATTATAAGTGCAGTAAGGGAAGGAAGCATGTATTTAAGGAACCAAGCATGCTGAAAAGTGTTTAAAATAAAAATGTTAAAGTATCAGAAAGCAGTAAGTTTTTTGTAGTAGTGGAAAAAGATGAAACTGATGGAGAGAAACCAGATTCCATACAAAAAAGTTCTAGTTCTTAGAATTGTTGATTATAAACCATAATGCCATCCCTCAGTCCTGGCTTTTAACAAGTGTTGAAAACATAATAGCAAGCCCCATCCACTTGACTCCATTATTAGAAATACTTGAATTTACCTCTTTTTATAAACTAAATCTTGGAAATGATGTTCTGACCTTAGGAAAAAAAAGGAAGAAAAGATTAAGAAAGCAAAAACAAAACAGCTTCACTCATACTCTGCCCTCCCACCAAAAAATATTGTTTTCATTGCCGTTTTAACTATATGAATAAGGTAGTTTAGAAACCATTATTGGAAAACAGTGAGACTGGAAAATTTAATCAAGTAAGTTTAGTGTCAGGCAGTCTGCAAATTGGCTAGGTCTAAACTTGGACATAAATCCAACGCATTTGGCAGTCACTTTACTTGGCTACATAAAATACAATTTTGTGTAATTTGAATGCTTTAGTCAATATTAACCTGTAACTGCCAATATGAGTTTAAATAACAAGGTTACATCAAAGTTTCAGGGCCACAAAGTGCTATTTTACTCCCAGTTTTAGTAAATTATAGAGTATTCTTCTTTGAGCAAGCAAGTAGATAAGCAATAATAGAGACACTGTAACCCACCTTATTTTGATTATGTATATTCTACCATTTTTCTAATTTTTCTTGGTCCTTCTCAACTTCCACAAATTTGTTTTTCAAAAACTCTGCTTGCTTAAAGAAGAATTTACTTTTCAAATATGCCTACTAAGTACAAAGCACATTCAGGTTTTTGAACTGTGATACCCTGAGCCACTTGTTTTGCCTTAAACTTTTGTCTTGCATTGATTGCTTTGCTTTACATTGCAATGGGCCCCTTCATATCAGCAAATCTTATTTTCACTCCACCTCCATGGCTTACTGAGATATAAAGCACCAGGAGATCAGTACTCAGTAACATTTATATTGTTAGTATTCCCTATGGTGCTACAAAGGTCATTCTAAGCACATAGCCAACCCAATGATATTGAATTGCCAATATTAATTTTATAAAAATGGGTTGTTGCTGTGTTTTGTTCTGTTCTATCTTTGATACTTATAACAACACCTGGCATACTATAAGTATTCAGTTAATAATTTTTAATAAATGAATTAACCCACAATGATAATTTATACTAGTTAGACCTTTCTAAAAAATACAGAGAATAGTTCATTCTAGCACGATTGTTGAGATTTGGGAATTCTAGACTTTTGGGAATTATTCACCCCTTTTTAGTATACTGATTTGATGGGCTTTTTATATCAATATTTTTTAAATTACTTAAAACACCCTCATGTTTATTTTCGCATTAGTGTGGACCTGGTCTTAGAATCTTCACCACAAAGAGCGTTCCAATCAAAGAAAGAAGAAGGAAATATTCCACTATGGGGGGCAATCAAACAACTAGCACTGCCCTAGACAGGAAATTAGGAAAATAAAGATGGGCACTAGCTGTAATTTAAACAAATTATATTTTTCTTTATGTGATAATGGGAGATAATTATCTCCCAAAGTTCTATTGGGTGAAAGAAAGCTGGTTTTGGTATTTTCTTATCTATTTGTCTATTAATCTTTCTGTCTATTCTATCTCTCTCTCTCTCTCTCTCTCTCTCTCTGTCACTTATCAAAAGAGGGCCAAGAATTGGACTTGTTCAGTGATTGTAGGGTCTGTCTTTTAAGCATATATCTGTTTAATATATTTTTGTTCATGCCACCCTTTACATAATTATAGCTAAATTTATTGAGTTCTTAATATGAACCAGCCATTTTAACTTGGAAAATGGAAAAAAAATCATTTAACCCCTAAAAAATCATAATGTTGATACTATTTTTATATTACTTCTACTTTACAGGTGAGGAAACTGAGGTTCGGAGTAGTCAATATCTTTGCTGAAGGTCCACAGGCGAATACATGACTGAAGTGGGATTTAAACCCAGTAGTTATTACTCCGAAGTTCGGTCTTTTAATGTTAGGATAAACTGCCTTAACAGCTTTTATATTATTGTTTGTGATGTTTTTTGTCTCTCTTACTTGATAGTGAGATTCTCAAGAGCCTAAACTGGGTCTTGTATATTTTTATACTCCTCACAATACTTCTTACAGATTAGTACCTTGAACATAGTAAGTGACCAGTACCAGATGGAAAGCAATGTTCGTATAGTTGAGAGTTGGAAGCCTAGGTATCATGGCAATTAAGAAACAACTTAGGGTCCCTGTAAATCTCACAGGCTTATGTGCATTTATATATATGTATCTTTTATTTTTTGCAAATTGAAATAATGCAAAAAATTAAGAAGAAAAAATAACTAGAATGCTAAAAAATTCTATGATTCAGTTTCAATCTACTGTTTTAGTCAATGCCCCACGTTTGATATTCTTTTTTTTTTTTTTTTTTTAACAGCAAGGACTTGTGAAACCAACTTGGAGTAGAGGTTTTCCAGGAATATTTAGTGAAGACTTGGGGGGAGTTGTTTGCTTTTGACTTGGAGAATAGAATCTGCTGCCAGTGATTAACTTGAGTGCTCTCCTGGAAGATGAGCTTTGACCTGGGGGTACTCAAAGGGAAAGTTCACTGTTGCTATTGTTCCAGAGTGGTGTAAATATCCTGCCAAAACTCTGGGTGAGCTAGACTCAGACACATTTTCTCTTTGACGTTAGAGTCAGACAGGCAGGAATTGGCCAAGGTGGTTTGTGCTTAGTGGCTTTCTCCAATCTGAACCCTTGCCAGTAAGGCCCTAAGGCAATCTCAAGTTAAATTCATATATTGATTTCAGATTTCCCATGTCTTGCACCATAGTTACACTATATACACATCTTATACCATGTTCACTGATGGGCGAGGTCGCTGCCTTAAAAGGCAATTCATATTCATGAACATACTCTTCTATTCTGCCTCTGTCCTTCTATCTCTGAGAGAGCCAGTTAAGCCAAGGTCTTTTGTATAGATTCAACAACTCTCCCTGGAACATGTCTGAACATGATGGTTCTCAGGTTTTGATTTGTAATGAGAAGTAGAACACTTATTTAGGCCTGGTAAGGTAGCTCCGCCAAGTCTAAGACAGAAAGCTCTTTGCTTTTTGCATCTAAGGCCTTTGACGGACTTTTAGTAGGATGGGTTCATTGGCTGTTTGGTTCCTCAGGAGCATGTAGGGAAGAGGGTGGGTTGATAGAATGGGATTTGAGTATTTTTTGGTTCCTGGTTATCATACTATCTAAACTGCACCAATTTATCTTTAACCTCAACAAATACTGTCAAAATTTATAACATTATCCCGAAAATTTCAGGGTTAATAAAATATAGAAAGTTCTATCTTAACACATGTTGATAAACAATAATGTGAGTTATGTAATCACACAAGAGTAGTTAGGCAAGCACAGACTGTAAATAAAATAGGTTTTTGGTGGATGGATTTATATAAATATAATTAATTTGTTGTTTAGCCCACGGGTATTTTTCCTCCCTTTGTGAAGTTCTGTTTAATGGAAACAGAAAAGTTCCCTGTTTAAGATGCATTTTAGGATTGAAATTTGTCATTGATTATGGAATGTGGTGAGGTGGAAAGAGAACAGGTCTGAAGGCCAAAAATCCCAGGTTTCTCACATCAACTTATTTTGTGAATTGAAACAATGGGCAGCATCACCATCTGTAAAGTAGAGGAATTAGCTGTGGTTTCTACACTGCTTTCCCCATCCAGCAAGCTATGTTCAATGTGTCCCTGTTTGAAAGGGAACACATCTTAGACTGAAATATGCTTGCTGGAAAACCTTGGATTTCAGAAATAGAAAAAAATTATTTATGGCTCCGAACATTCCCTCACCCCTCCTTCTCCTTTTGGTAAAATGTGGATGGCATAGTAAGGAGACTATGACTCAAGAGTAATGTCCTCAGCTTCGTGGAAATCATTTCTCATTTTCTTCTAAGGTTAGTGCCATTGGCTTAACACACTTTCCTCTTCCATTCTCAGCCTCCCCTTCAATTAATATCTCAGTAATAAGCTAGTTTACTGTCAAAAATCCCAGAAATAGCTTAGTCTTAGTTGCAACTCCATGGGCAACAAAGACAGTTTTAGGGGCCTGATTCCTCGGGGCCAAGCAGCCATGATGTACAGCACAGCATGTGTTCCTGCTGTGAGGACCAACGACAATGTGAATAGAAAAATGGTTAAGTGCATGTTCAATTTGAGACATGAAAGTCTCTCCAGAAATAAGTGCTTGTGGCTGGCTTTAACTAGGTATATGCTTCTGAGGTTTGTTCAGAGCCCCTTGGTGGAAATGCTGGACACTTAAAGAGACTGAGCCCATATATCCTGACCCCTTCCTCTCTCATTCTGTTTGTAAAAATAGCCTTCAGACTTGGCAATAATCTCAGTTAGTCCTCATTTGTCCTTTCTCTTGTTCTATGAGCTATTATTTATTCTGTATAATTTTTAAAAACTCATGTAAACAGGGTAAATAATGAAGTTTTATTTTAAAATGACCACACAAACTTTATAGAAATGTGTACCCACATTTAAATCTGGCCTGGCATATCCCCTTCCTCCTGCCTCAGCTGAGATCCTCCCCACCTGCTTCTGTTGTGTTAGTAGAAGAAAACACCTGGCATGGTTTCTGGCAGTGGAGCATGCAAATATAGTTAATTTCCAATTTTGGTCAATTTGGAACTTCTGATTTATTTTTCAATAAGAAACAAGCTAGCAAATCAAAACACACAGGTTTTTTTTTTTTCTTCTTCACAAGGAGAGAGTGTTGAAATAAGAGGTATTTTTCAGATCTCTATAAAATAGACTTTTTCATCTCCATTTGATTTTCAATTCCATGGAGGAGCAATCTCATTTTCCTGTTTGTTGAGTAGATTGTCCATGGTCCCATGACAACACCAGTTCAAGGCTAATGTTCCATGAGGGGACACAACTTCAGTCAATAATCATGAGCACATGTGGCTCCAGCCTAAGGCACACAAGCCTTCTGGTGGCTTGGGGAAATAGGAAGACCACAGTTGAAAGTGAATAAAAGTAAGAGAGCTCCTGAGATTTTCTAGACAGTCAAATATTTACTGTAAGTCTTTCTGGATATGGTGTTATGCTTGTTGCAAAGTAAACAGCTCAAGGCCAGGCTTGCACTAACCTCACAGAGTGGAACATTTTCCTTATGATGCAGTTCAGTTCAACAGGGATTTATTGAGCTACTCACACTGTTATGGAAAATATAAAAGTATAGCAATTGAAGGCATCATCACATTTCTTGAGCAAATTTTGATCTACTTGGGGATACAAGACTTAGCAATAAAAGGTACAGTATTGAATTTATTTTGAGGTGCAGATACTTAACTTTTTAACATTTTTCATATTATGGTACACATAGAAAATAATCATATTTAGTTAGTATATTTATAAATTTGGAAGTAATTAGGATTAATTCCAGTATGGCATTTGGTAAAAAAATGAAACATTCTTATACTGTATAATAATGATAAGAAAGATGTAACAAAAGGTATTAGAGGATAGATATGCTAAATAGTGAATTTGTAAATAAAAAGAACTTCCAAAAAATCTTTTCGAATGTTTGAAGGAGAAACTTGAAATGTTACGAATACATTTTTTTAATCCTATGCTTGAAACAGCTACATGCAATTCCTGATCAAGACATTCTAATGATGATCTCCTTAAAGTCTTAAGAACCACCATTAATGAGAAAATTTGTCCAAATATGTATCTGATAGAACATGTCAAACAAATTTTAAGATGACTGAAAAGTTTGCAGTCATTGAAATTACATTTAAAAACTAATAGCTCTTTCCTTCCTTTTACTGACAAATGTAATTTTTCAAGTTTTTCAAATAATGGTGAAGCTCTAATGAGTAGAACTTGTATGGTGTTTTTTTCTTATATGAAATTCACATAACACACAGTTAACCATTTTAAAGTGTACAATTCAGTCATATTTAGAGCACTCACAGCATTGTGCAATAGCTACCTCTCTGTAGTTTTAAAACTCTTTCATCACCCCAGAATAACACCTTATACTCATCAAGCACTCATTCCCTGTTTCCCTCTCCATCCATACCCTAGCAAACACTCATCTGCTCTCTGTCTGTATGGATTTGCCTTTTCTGGATATTTCATATACAAGAAATTATACAACAGGTGACCTTTCGGGTCTGGCTTCTTTCATTTAACATAATTTTTGAGGTTCATCCAAGTTGTAGCGTCTATTAGCACTTCATTCTTTTTTGTGACCAAATAATATTTTTTTGTGTGTAGCACAATTTGTTTATCCATTTATCCATTCTTGGACATTTGGATTGTTTTCCCCTTTTGGCTATTGTGAATGTTATGAATATTCATGAGCAAGTAGTAGTTTGAGTCCTGCTATATATATTTTTTTTACTTTAAGTTCTGGGGTACATATGTTGAACATGCAGGTTTGTTACATAGGTATACATGTGCCATGGTAGTTTGCTGCACCTATGAACCTGTCATCTAGGTTTTAAGCCCCACATGCATTAGGTATTTGTCCTAATCCTCTCCCTCCCCTTTCCCCAGACCTCCCAACAGGCCCCGGTGTGTGATGATCCCCTCCCTGTGTCCGTGTGTTCTGATTGTTCAGCTTCCACTTATGAGTGAGAACATGCAGTGTTTAGTTTTCTGTTCCTGTGTTAGTTTGCTGAGGATGACAGTTTCCAGTTTCATCCATGTCCCTGCAAAGGACATGAACTCATTCTTTTATTATGGCTGCATAGTATTCCATGGTGTATATGTGCCATGTTTTCTTTATCCAGTCTATCATTGGTGGGCATTTGAGTTGGTTTCAAGTGTTTGCTATTGTAAGTAGTGCTGCAATAAACATACGTGTGCATGTGTCTTTATGGTAGAATGATTTATATTCTTTTGGGTGTGTACTCAGTAATGGGATTGCTGGGTCAAATGGCATTTCTGGTTTTAGATCCTTGAGGAATCACCACACTGTCTTCTACAATGGCTGAACTAATTTACACTCCCATCAACAGTGTAAAAGTGTTCCTATTTCCCTACATCCTCTCCAGTATCTGTTGTTTCCAGACTTTTTAATGATCACCATGCTAACTAGCATGAGATGGTATCTCAGTGTGGTTTTGATTTGCATTTCTCTAATGACCAGTGATGATGAGCTTTTTTTCATATGTTCGTTGGCTGCATAAATGTGTTCTTTTTAAAAAATTTTTTATTATTTATTTATTGTTTAACTTCTAGGGTACATGTGCGCAATGTGCAGGTTTGTTACACAGGTATACATCTGCCATATTGGTTTGATGCACCCATCAACTTGCCATTTACATTAGGTATTTCTCCTAATGCTATCCCTCCCCCAGACCCCCACCCCCTGACCAGCCCTGGTGTGTAATGTTCCCCACCCTGTGTCCATGTGTTCTCATTGTTCGACTCCCACTTATGAGTGAGAACATGTGGTGTTTGGTTTTCTGTTCTCGTGATACTTTGCTTAGAATGATGGTTTTGAGCTTCATCTATGTTCCTGCAAAGGACATGAACTCATCCTTTTTTATGGCTGCATAGTATTCCATGGTGTATATGTGCCACATTTTCTTAATCCAGTCTATCATGGATAGACATTTGGGTTGGTTCCAAGTCTTTGCTATTGTGGATAGTGCCACAATAAACATACATGTGCATGTGTCTTTATCATAGAATGATTTATAAACCTTTGGGTATATGCCCAGTAATGGGATTGCTGGGTCAAAAGGTATTTCTAGATCTAGATCCTTGAGAAATCGCCACACTGTCTTCCACAATGGGTGAACTAATTTACACTCCCACTGACAGCATTAAAGCGTTGCTGTTTCTCCACATCCTCTCTAGCATCTGTTGTTTCCTGATTTTTAATGATTGCCATTCTAACTAGTGTGAGATGGTATCTCATTGTGGTTTGATTTGCATTTCTCTGATGACCAGTGATGATGAGTATTTCTGCATATGTCTGTTGGCTGCATAAATGTCTTCTTTTGAGAAGTGTCTGTTCATATCATTTGCCCACTTTTTTATGGGGTTGTTTGTTTTTTTCTTGTAAATTTGTTTAAGTTCTTTGTAGATTCTGGATATTAGCCGTTTGTCAGATGGGTAGGCTTTCGTATCAGGATGATGCTAGCCTCATAAAATGAGTTAGGGAGGATTCCCTCTTTTTCTATTGATTGAAATAGTTTCAGAAGGAATGGTACCATCTCCTCTTTGTACCTCTGGTAGAATTCAGCTGTGAATCCATCTGGTCTTGGACTTTGTTTTGTTGGTAGGCTATTAATTATTGCCTCAATTTCAGAACCTGTTATCGGTCTATTCAGAGAGTCCACTTCTTCCCGGTTTAGTCTTGGGAGGGTGTTTGTGTCCAGGAATTTATCCATTTCTTCTAGATTTTCTAGTTTATTTGCCTAGAGGTGTTTATAGTATTCTCTGATGGTAGTTTGTATTTCTGTGGCATTGGTAGTGATACCCCTTTATCATTTTTTATTGCATGTATTTGATTCTTCTCTCTTTTCTTCTTTATTAGTCTTGCTAATGGCCTATCAATTTTGTTGATCTTTTCAAAAAACCAGCTCCTGGATTCACTGATGTTTTTTTGAAGGGTTTTTTGTGTCTCGATCTCCTTCAGTTCTGCTCTGATCTTAGTTATTTCTTGCCTTCTGCTAGCTTTTGAATTTGTTTGCTCTTGCTTCTCTAGTTCTTTTAATTGTGATGTTAGGGTGTGTCAATTTTAGCTCTTTCCTGCTTTCTCTTGTGGGCATTTAGTGCTATAAATTTCCCTCTATACACTGCTTTAAATGTGTCCCAGAGATTCTGGTATGTTGTGTCTTTGTTCTCATTGGTTTCAAAGAATATCTTTATTTCTGCCTTCATTTCGTTATTTACCCAGTAGTCATTCAGGAGATGGTTGTTTAGTTTCCATGTAGTTGTGCATTTTTGAGTGAGTTTATTAATCCTGAGTTCTAATTTGATTGCACTGTGGTCTGAGAGACTGTTGTGATTTCTCTTCTTTTACATTTGCTGAGGAGTGTTTTACTAACAATTATGTGGTCAATTTTAGAATCAGTGCGATGTGGTGCTGAGAAGAATGAATATTCTGTTGATTTAGGGTGTAGAGTTGTGTAGATGTCTATTAGGTCCACTTGATCCAGAGCTGAGTTCTAGTCCTGGATATCCTTGTTAACTTTCTGTCTCATTGATCTGTCTAATATTGGCAGTGGGGTGTTAAAATCTCCCATTATTATTGTGTGGTAGTCTAAGTCTCTTTGTAAGTCCTGAAGGATTTGCTTTATGAATCTGCGTGCTCCTGTATTGGATGTATATATGTTTAGGATAGTTAGCTCTTCTTGTTGAATTGATCCCTTTATCATTATGTAGTGGCCTTCTTTGTCTCTTTTGATCTTTGTTGGTTTAAAGTCTGTTTTATGAGAGACTATCATTGCAACCCCTGCTTTTCTTTCTTTCTTTTTTTTTTTGCTTTCCATTTGCTTGGTAGATCTTCCTCCATCCCTTTATTTTGAGCCCATGTGCGTCTCTGCATGTGAGATGGGTCTCCTGAATACAGCATACTCATGGGTCTTGACTCTTTTTCCAATTTGCCAATCTGTGTCTTTTAATTGGGGAATTTAGCCCATTTACATTTAAGATTAATATTGTTATGTTTGAATTTGATCCTGTCATTATCACGTTAGCTGGTCATTTTGCCTGTTAATTGATGCAGTTCCTTCATAGCGTTGCTGGTCTTTACAATTTGACATTTTTTTTTCAGTGGCTAGTACCAGTTGTTCCTTTCCATGTTTAGCGCTTCCTTCAGGATTTCTTGTAAGCCAGGCCTGGTGGTGACAAAATCTCTCAGCATTTGCTTGTTTGTAAAGGATTTTATTTTGCCTTCATTTATGAAGCTCAGTTTGGCTGGATATGAGATTCTGGGTTGAAAATTCTTTTCTTTAAGAATGTTTAATATTGGCCCCCACTCTTTTCTGACTTGTAGAGTTTTTGCCAAGAGATCTGCTGTTAGTCTGATGGGCTTCCCTTTGTGGGTAACCTGACCTTTCTCTCTGGCTTCCCTTAACATTTTTTCCTTCATTTCAATGTTGGTGAATCTGCCAATTACGTGTCTTGGGGCTGCTCTTCTTGAGGAGTATCTTTGTGGTGTTCTATGTATTTCCTGAATTTGAAGGTTGGCCTGCCTTGCTAGATTAGGGAAGTTCTCCTGGATAATATCCTGAAGAGTGTTGTCTAACTTGGTTCCACTATCCTCATCACTTTCCATTACACCAATCAAATGTAGAGTTGGTCTTTTCACATAGTCCCATATTTCTTGGAGGCTATGTTTGGTTTTTTTTTCACTCTTTTTTCTCTAATCTTGTCTTCTTGCTTTATTTCATTAATTTGATCTTCAGTCACTGATATCCTTTCTTCCACTTGATCAAATCAGCTATTGAAGCTTGTGCATCCATCACGAGGTTCTTGTGCCATGGTTTTCTACTCCATCAGGTCATTTATGGTCTTCTCTACACTGTTTATTCTAGTTAGCCATTTGTCTAACCTTTTTTCAAGGTTTTTAGCTTCCTTGTGATAGGTTACAACATGCTCCTTTAGCTCGGAGAAGTTTGTTACTATCGACCTTCTGAAGCCTACTTCTGAAAACTCAACAAATTCATTCTCCATCCAGTTTTGTTCTGTTGCTGGCAAGAAGCTGTGATCCTTTGGAGGGGAAGAGTTGCTGTGCTTTCTGGAATTTTCAGCTTTTCTGCTCTGGTTTCTACCCATCTTTGTGGTTTTATCTACCTTTGGTCTTTGACGTTGGTGACCTACAGATGGGGTTTTGGTGTGGATGTCCTTTTTTTTGATGTTGATGCTATTTTTTTTCTGTTTGTTAGTTTTCCTTCTAACAGTCAGACCCCTCAGCTGCAGGTCTGTTGGAGTTTGCTGGAGGTCCACTCCAGACCCTGTCTGCCTGGGTATCACCAGTGGAGGCTGCAGAACAGCAAATATTGCTGCCTGATCCTTCCTCTGGAAGCTTCGTCACAGATGGGCACCTACCTGTTTGAGTGTCTGTTGACCCCTACTGGGAGGTGTTTCCCAGTCAGGCTACACAGGGGTCAGGGACCTGCTTGAGGAGGCAGTCTGTCCATTCTCGGAGCTCGAACGCCATGCTGAGAGAACCACTGCTCTCTTCAGAGCTGTCAGACAGGGATGTTTAAGTCTGCAGAAGCTTTCTGTTGCCTTTTGTTCTACTATGCCCTGCCCCCAGAAGTGGAATCTATAGAGGCAGTAGGCCTTGCTGAGCTGCGGTGGGCTCCACCCAGTTCCTGCTTCCAGGCCTCTTTGTTTACATTGTGAGCTACTCAAGCCTCAGCAATGGTGGACACCCCTCCCCCCATCCAGCTGCAGCAAGGCAGGTCAATCTCAGACTGCTGCACTAGCAGTGAGCAAGGCTCCGTGGGAGTGGGACCTGCCAAGCTAGGCACAGGAGAATATCTCCTGGTCTGCCAGTTGCTAAGACTGTGGGAATAGTGCAGTATTTTGTCAGAAGTGTACCGTTTCTCCAGTTACAGTCTGTCACAGCAGCCCTTGGCTAGGAAAGGGAAATCCCCTAACCCCTTGTGCTTCCCAGGTGAGGCGACACCTGCCCTGCTTCAGCTCACCCTCCATGGGCTGCACCCACTGTCCAGTCCCAGGATGAACCAGGTACCTCAGTTGGAAATGTAGAAATAACCAACTTCTCTGTCGATCTTGCTGGGAACTGCACACCGGAGCTGTTCCTATTTGCCCCTCTTGGAAGTGGAGTGTATAAATGTCTTCTTTTGAGAAGTATCTGTTCAGGTCCTTCACCCACTTTTTGATGGAGTTGTTCATTTTTTTCTTGTAAATTTGTTTAAGTTCCTTGTAGATTCTCGATATTAGCCCTTTGTCAGATGGGCAGATTGCAAAAATTTTCTCCCATTCTGAACAGGTTGCCTGTTCACTCTGATGATAGTTTCATTTGCTGTGCAGAAGCTCTTTAGTTTAATTTGATCCCATTTGTCTGCTTTGGCTTTTATTGCCATTGCTTTTGGTGTTTCAGTCATGAAGGCTTTGCCCATGCCTATGTCCTGAGTGGTATTGCCTAGGTTTTCTCCTGGGGTTTCTAAAGTTTTAGGTTTTATGTTTAAGTCTTTAATCCATCTTGAGTTAATTTTTGAATAAGGTGTAAGGAAGGGTCAGTTTTCTGCATATGGCTAGCCAGTTTTCCCAGCACCATTTATTAAATAGGGAATTATTTCCTTATTGCTTGTTTTTGTCAGGTTTGTTGAAAATCAGGTGATTGTAGTTGCGTGGCGTTATTTCTGAGGGCTCTGTTCTGTTCCATTGGTCTATATATCTGTTTTGGTACCAGTACCATGCTGTTTTCATTACTGTAGCCTTGCAGTACAGTTTGAAGTCAGGTAGTGTGATGCCTCCAGCTTTGTTCTTTTTGCTTAGGATTGTCTTGGCTATGCAGGCTCTTTTTTGGTTCCATATGAAATTTAAAGTAGTTTTTTTCTAATTCTGTGAAGAAAGTCAACAATACCTTGATGGGAATGGCATTGAATCTATAAATTACTTTGGGTAGTATTGCCATTTTCGTGATATTGATTCTTCCCTTCCATGAGCATGGAATGTTTTTCTATTTGTTTGTGTCCTCTCTGATTTCCTTGAGCAGTAGTTTGTAGTTGTCCTTGAAGAGGTCCTTCATTTCCCTTGTAAGTTGTATTCCTAGGTATTTTATTTCTTTGTAACAATTGTGAATGGGAGTTCACTCATGATTTGGCTCTCTGCTTGTCTATTATTGGTGTATAAGAATGCTTGTGATTTTTGCACATTGATTTTTTATCCTGAGAGTTTGCTGAAGTTGCTTGTCAGCTTAAGAAGTTTGTGGGCTGAGACGATGGGGTTTTCTAAATATACATTCATGTCGTCTGCAAACAGAGACAATTTGACTTCCTCTCATTCTATTTGAATGCCTTTTATTTCTTTCTCTTGCCCAATTGCTCTGTCCAGAACTTCCAATGCTATGTTGAATAGGAGTGGTGAGAGAGGGCACCTTTGTCTCGTTCCAGTTTTCAAAGGGAATGCTTCCAGCTTTTGCCCATTCAGTATGATATTGGCTATGGTTTTGAAATAAATAGCTCTTGTTATTTTGAAATATGTTCCATCAGTACTTAGTTTATTAAGTTTTTAGCTTGAAAGTGTGTTGAATTTTATCAAAGGCCTTTTCTGCATGTATTGAGATAATCATGTGGGTTTTGTCATTGGTTCTGCTTATGTGATGGATTACGTTTATTGATTTGTATATGTTGAACCAGCCTTGCATCCCAGGAATGAAGCTGACTTGATCATGGTGGTTAAGCTTTTTGATGTGCTGCTGGATTCAGTTTGCCAGTATTTTACTGAGGATTTTCACGTCAATGTTCCTCAGCGATATTGCCCTGAAATTTTCTTTTTTTATTGTGTCTCTGCCAGGTTTTGGAATCAGGATGATGCTGGCCTCGTAAAATGAGTTATAGAGGATTCCCTCTTTTTCTGTTGTTTAGAATAGTTTCAGAAGGAATGGTACCAGCTCCTCCTTGTACCTCTGGTAGAACTTGGCTGTGAATCCATCTGGTCCTGGACTTTTTTTGGTTGGTAGGCTATTAATTACTGCCTCAATTTCAGAACTTGTTATTGGTCTTTTCAAGGATTCAACTTCTTCCTAGTTTAGTCTTGGGAGGGTGTTTGTGTTCAGGAATTTATCTATTTCTTCTAGATTTTCTAGTTTATTTGCATAGAGGTGTTTATAGTATTCTCTGATGGTAGTTTGTATTTCTGTGGCATCGGTGTTGATATCACCTTTATCATTTTTTATTGCGTCTATTTGATTCTGCTCTCTTTCCTTCTTTATTAGTCTGGGTAGTGGTTTATATATTTTGTTGATATTTTCAAAAAACCAGCTCTTGGATTCATTGATTTTTTGAAGGGTTTTTTGTGTCTCTATCTCTTTCAGTTCTGCTCTGATCTTAGTTATTTCTTGTCTTCTGCTAGCTTTTGAATTTGTTTGCTTCTGCTTCTCTAGTTTTTTTAATTGCGATGTTAGGGTGTGGATTTTAGATCTTTCCTACTTTCTCCTTTGGGCATTTTGTGCTATAAATTTCCCTCTAAACACTGCTTTAACTGTGTCCCAGAGACTCTGGTGCATCAACCAGTAAGTTGATCTTATTGGTTTTAAATAACTTATTTATTTCTGTCTTTTTGCATTATTTATCCAGTAATCATTCAGGAACAGGTTGTTCAGTTTCCGTGTAGTTGTGTGGTATTGAATGAATTTCTTAATCCTAAGTTCTAATTTGACTGCACTGTGGTCCAAGAGACTGTTATATTTCCTTTATTTTCCATTTGCTGAGGAGTGTTTTACTTCCAATTATGTGGTCAATTTTAGAATAAGTGCGATGTGGTGCTGAGAAGAATGTATATTCTGTTGATTTGGGGTGGAGAGTTCTGTAGATGTCTATTAGGTCAGCTTGATCCAGAGCTGAGTTCAAGTTCTGAATATCCTTGTTGATTTTCTGTCTCGTTGATCTGTCTAATATTGACAGTGGGGTATTAAAGTCTTCCATTATTATTGTATGGGAGTCTCTCTTTGTAGGTCTCTAAGAACTTGCTTTATGAATCAAGGTGCTCCTGTATTGGGTGCATATATATTTAGGATAGTTAGCTCTTCTTGTTGCATTGATTCCTTTACCATTATGTAATGCGCTTCTTTGTCTTTTTTTATCTTTGTTGGTTTAAAGTCTGTTTTATCAGAGACTAGGATTGCAAGTCCTGTTTTTTTTTTTTTTTTGGCTTTCCATTTGCTTGGTAAATATTCCTCCATCCCTTTATTATGAGCCTATGTGTGTCTTTGCACATGAGATGGGTCTCCTGAATACAGCTCACTGATGAGTCTTGACTCTTTATCCAATTTGCCAGTCTGCATCTTTTAATTGGGGCATTTAGACCATTTACATTTAAGGTTAGTGTTGTTATGTGTGAATTTGATCCTGTCATCATAATGCTAGCTGGCTGTTTATTAGTTGATGCAGTTTCTTCATAGTGTCATTGGTCTTTTTATTTTGGCATGTTTTTTCAGTGCCTGGTACCAATTGTTCTTTTCCATATTTAGTGCTTCTTTCAGGGGCTCTTGTAAGGCAGGCCTAGTGGTAATAAAATCCCTCCGCATTTGCTTTGTATGTAAAGGATTTTATTTCTCCTTCACATATGAAGCTTAGTGTGGCTGGATATGAGATTCTGGGTTAAAAATTCTTTTCTTTAAGAATATTGAATATTGGCTACCACTGTCTTCTTGCTTGTAGGGTTTCTGCTGAGAGATCCGCTCCTATTCTGATGGGCTTCCCTTTGTAGGTAACTTGACCTTTCTCTCTGGCTGCCCTTAATATTTTCCCCTTCATTTCAACCTTGGAGAATCTGATGATTATGTGTCTTGGGGTTGCTCTTCTCAAAGAGTATCTTAGTGGTGTTCTCCCTATTTCCTGAATTTGAATGTTTGCCTGTCTTGCTACGTTGGGGAAGTTCTCCTGGATAATATCCAGAAGAGTGTTTTCCAACTTGGTTCCATACTCCCTGTCACTTTCAGGGACCCCAATCAATTGTAGGTTTGGTCTTTTCACATAGTCCCATATTTCTTGCAGGCTTTATTCATTCCTTTTCATTCTTTTATCTCTAATTTTGTCTTCATGCCTCATTTCAGTAACTTGATCTTCAATCTCTGATATCCTTTCTTCCATTTGATCGATTTGGCTATTGATTCTTGTGTATGCTTCACGAAGTTCTCGTGCTGTATTTTTCAGCTCCATCAGGTCATTTATGTTCTTCTCTAAACTGGTTATTCTAGTTAGCAGTTCCTGTAACCTTTTTTCAAAGATCTCAGCTTCCTTGCATTCTGTTATAACATGCTCCTTTAGCTCGCAGGAGTTTGTTATTACCCACCTTCTGAAGCCTACTTCTTTCATTTTGTCAAACTAATTCTCTGTCCAGTTTTGTGCCCTTGTTGGAGAAGAGTTTCGATCATTTGGAGGAGAAGAGGCATTCTGGTTTTTGGAATTTTCAGCCGTTTTGCACTGGTTTTTCCTCATCTTCATGGATTTATCTATCTTTGATCTTTGAAGTTGGTGACCTTTGGATGGTGTTTCTGTGTGGGGGTTCTTTTTGTTGATGTTGATGTTATTGCTTTCTGTTTGTTAGTTTTTCTTCTTACAGTCAGGCCCCTCTTCTGCAGGACTGCTCCAGACCCTATTTGTCTGGGTATCACCAGCAGAGGCTGCATAGCAGCAAAGATTGCTGTTGCCTGCTCCTTCCTCTGGAAGCTTTGTCCCAGAGGGGCACTGGCCTGATGTCAACCAGAGCTCTCCTGTATGACGTGTCTGTCAATCCCTGTTGGGAAGTCTCTGCCAGTTAGGAGGCACAGGAGTCAGGGACCAACTTGAGGAGGCAGTCTGTCCTTTAGCAGAGCTCGAGCCCTGTGCTTGGAGAACCCTCCTTCTCAGGATCTGTTGCTCTCTTCAGAGCCAGCAGGCAGGAATATTTAATTCTGCTGAAGCTATATCCACATCTGCCCCTTCCCCCAGGTGCTCTTAAGCAGTGAGATGGGAGTTTTATCTATAAGACCCTGACTGGGGCTGCTGCCTTTCTTTCAGGGATGCCCTGACCAGTGAAGAGGAATTTAGAGAGGCCGTCTGACCACAGCTGCTTTGCCATGCTGCATTGAGTTCTGCCTAGTCCTTGGTAATGGCAGGGGAAAACTGCTTACTCAAACCTCAGTAATGGTGATGCCCCTCCCACTACCAGGTTGGATCCTCTCAGGTTGACTTCAGACTGCTGTGCTGGCAGTGAAGATTTCAAGCCAGTGGTGTTTAGCTCGCTGGGCTCCATGGTAATGGGACCCACTTAGCGAGACCACTTGGCTTCCTGGTTTCAGCCCCCTTTCCAGGGGAGTGAATGGTTCTGTCTTGCTGGGGTTCCAGGTGCCACTGGGGTATGAAAACAAACAAACAAACAAACAAACAAACAAACAAACAAACTCCTGCAGCTAGCACAGTGTCTGCTCGAACAGCCACCAAGTTTTGTGCCTGAAACCCAGGGCCCTTTTGGTGTATGCACACAGGGAATCTCCTGGTCTGTGAATTGCAAAAATCATGGGAAAAGCATAGTACCTGCGCTGGATAGCACAGTCCCTCACTCGGCTGCGGAAGGGAGGCCCCCAACTCCTTGCACTTCCTGGGTGAGGCGATGCCCCACCCTGCTTCTGCTAGCCCTCCATGGGCTGCACCCACTACCTAATCTGTCCTCTCAGTTGGAAATGCAGAAATCACCCATCTTCTGTGTTGGTCTCGCTGGAAGCTGCCAGACGGGGCTGTTATTCAGCCATCTTCAAGTCTTGCTTTCAAATGTTTGAAGTATAAACCTAGAAGTGAGGTTTCTGGGTCATAAGGTAATTCTGTGTTTAACTTTTCTGAGTAACTGCCAAAGTGTTTTCCACAGCAGCTGCACCATTTTATATTGCCACCAATGATGGATAAGTATTCTTTTTTCTCCACATCCTCAACACTTCTTATTTTGTTTTCTTTTAATAATCATCCTGGCTAGGCGCAGTGGCTCACGCCTGTAATCCCGGCACTTTGAGAGGCCAGGGCGGGCAGGTCACGAGGTCAGGAGATCAAGACCATCCTGGCTAACATGGTGAAAACCCATCTCTACTAAAAATACAAAAACTTAGCTGGGCATGGCGGCACCCACCTGTAGTCCCAGCTACTCGGGAGGCTGAGGCAGGAGAATCACTTGAACCTGGGAGGTGGAGGTTGCAATGAGCCAGGATCACACCACTGCACTCCGGCCTGGGTGACAGAGCGAGACTCCATTTCAAAAAAAAAAAAAAAAGTAATAATCCTAGTGTGTGTGAAGTGGTATCTCATCATGTTTTTTCTTTTTTTCATTTACTATACTTTAATGCTTATGACATAATTTTTAAAGAGGAAAATATTAGTTGGGACAATGGAAGGAGTCAGATTTTTAGGTAACACTGGAAAATTTTAAGAAGAAACAGCAAGATGATACATGAAATTATATAGACCTTATGCCAAATCCTTTACTCAGAGGACAAAACTTGTTACATACAGATACAAAGCTTGTTTTGTACTGACTTGGAAATCCCAAACTTTTTCTGTGAACTTAATTAGGTGGTCCACCTTGCCTGTTCTGACACCTTTCTCAAAGACATAGTGAGGTATTGTACAACTATGCTGCTGAGTGGTGGTCCCATTGCTGGTATTTTTTTACTCTTTCTCTAAGATCATTTCATCCATATGTGCAATCCCATCAGCTCAGGGGAAGCATAAAGCATTTCCCACCTGCGTGTCTCACCTCTCAAATATGTCCTTATTTTATTGTAGGAGCACAGGATTGTACCTTAGTTTTGCTGCTACCCACAACTCATGCTCTAATGCAACTGCCTCAGTGAGGCACACTGTGGTTAAACCCTTACTAAACGTTTTCATCTTAAAGTCAAGTAATAAAGACATAAAATGAGCTCTGAAAGTATTCTTCAGAGGAAAGCAATGGAAGCATCATTTTTCAAAAAGTGCATGTGATTTTATTGTGGTTTTGATTTACATTTCCTTAATGATCAATGATGTTGAATGACTTTTCATGTATTAGCCATTTGTACATCTTTGGAGAAAAGTCTTTTCAAAATCCTTTGCCCATTTTAAAATTGGATAGTTTGTCTTTTTGTTGTTGAGTTGTAAGAGTTCTTTATACATATTTTTATATATTCTGAATACTAAACTCTTAATCTGATATATGACTTGCAAATATTTTTTCCACTCTATAGATTGTCTTTTCATTTTATTTTTGTGTTAATATCTTTTGATGTGCAAAAATTTAATTTTTATGGAGTCTATCTCTTTTTCTTCATTGCTCATGCTCTTGATGTCAAATCTAAGAATTCATTGCCAAATCTGTGGTCATAAAGAGTTAATACTTTGTTTATTTTTAGTGACTTTAGAGTTCTTATTATTCTATTCTCTTTTTTGTTCATCTCTGCTCTAATTTTTATTACGTCCTTCCTTCTGCTAGCTTTGGATTTAGTTTGCTGTTCTTTTTCTAGCTCCTTAGATGTAATGCTTGGCTGATTTATAATCTTGTTTTCTTAATAAAATAGGCATTTACAGCTACATATTTTCTTCTAATCATTGTTTTAGCAACATCCCTAAGATTTGGTATACTGTGGTTGTTTTTTTTTTTTTTTCATTTATTTCAAAGTATAATTTCTCTAGTAATTTTTTCTTTGATCTACTGATTATTTAAGAGCATACTGTTTAATTTCCATATATTTCTATATTTTTCAGCTTCCTTCTGTTGTTGACTTTTGTCTTCATTCCATCATGGTCAGAAAACACTTTTTGTATAGTTTAATATTTTAACATTTATTGACAGTTTTTTTATAACCTCACAGAGTGTCAATCTAAAAAATATTCCATGAGGATTTGAAAAGCATATCCATTTTGCTGTTATTGGGTAGACTGTTCCATGTATGTAGATTAAGTTTAATTGCTTTATAGTGCTATTCTTTCATCATTTATCATCTGTCTAGATAGTCTATTGATAATTAAAAGTGAGGTATTGAAGTTTCTAAATATTGTAGAACTGTCTCTCTAATTCTGTCAATGTTTTCTTCACATATTTTGGGGTTATGTTATTTGATGCATGTATATTTATAATTGTTATATCTTATTGATAAGACCTTTTAAAAATCAACGTACAATGTCCTTCTTTGTCTCTTTTAACTTTTTCTTAAAATTTATTTTTTCTGCTATTAGTATAGACACTCTAGCTGTCTATTGGTTACTAATTGCATGGAATATCTTTTTCATTATTTCACTTTCAACCTATTTGTGTCTTTAGGTCTAAACTGAATCTCTTGTAAACAGTATATAATTGGATCATTTAAAAATCCATTTTGCCAATCTGTCATTTAATTGGTGAGTTTAATAGATTGACATTCAAAGTGATTACTGACAAATGGGAACTTATTTCTGCCATTTTGCTATTTTTAAAATCTTTTTTATTCCTCAATTTCTCTGTTACTGCCTTCTTTTTTATTTGAATTTTTTCTTAGTTTACCATTTTCATTCTCTATTTACTTCCTTTTCATATAGTTTCATTGAGTTATATTATTAGTGGTTACTATGGTCATTATAGTTAACATCCTAAGTTTATAACAGTCTAGTTTGAATTGGTACCAACTGAGCTTGAATAGTATACATTAACTCTGCTTTTATCATATCCAGTTCTGTCCCCCTCTCAGGTTGTTATTGTCACAAATTACATCTTTATACATGGGTAACAATTAACATAGATTTATAATTATTTGTATTCATTTTTGTTTTAAATCACATAGGAAGCAAAGATATAGTTGTAAACAAACAATATAAAATACTAACTTCTATATATGCCTATACAATTATATTTACCATTGATATTTATTTCTCCCTACAGCTCAAGTTACTATGTAGTGTCATTTCATTTCAGCCTGAAGGACTCCCTTTAGCATTTTTTTTCTTTTTCTTTTCTTTTTAACTATACGCTAAGTTCTGGGATACAAGTGCAGAACATGCAGGTTTGTTACATAGGTATCCACGTGCCATGGTGGTTTGCTGCACTCATCAACCCGTCATCTACATTAGGCATTTCTCTTAATGCTATCTCTCCCCTAGTTCTCCATCCTCTGACAGGCCCCAGTGTGCGATGTTCCCCTCCCTGTGTTTATGTGTTCTCATTGTTCAACTCTCACTTATGAGTGAGAACATGCAGTGTTTGGTTTTCTGTTCCTGTGTTAGTTTGCTGAGGATGATGGTTTCCAGCTTCATCCACATCCCTGCAAAGGACATGACCTCATCCTTTTTTATGGTTGCATAGTATTCCATGGTTTATATATGCCACATTTTATTTATCCAGTCTATCATTGATGGGCATTTGAGTTGGTTCCAAGTCTTTGCTATTGTAAATAGTGCTGCAATAAACATGCTGGTGCATGTGTCTTTATAGTAGAATGATTTATATTCCTTTGGGTATATACCCAGTAATGGGATTGCTGGATCAAATAGTATTTCTGGTTCTAGATCCTTGAGGAATCACCACACTGTCTTCCACAATGGGTGAACTAATTTACACTTCTGCCAACAGTGTAAAAGCATTCCTATTTCTCCACATCTTCTCCAGCATCTGTTGTTTCTTGACTTTTTAATGATCACCATTCTAACCAAAGTGAGATGTTATCTCATTGTGGTTTTAATTTGCATTTCTCTTATGATCAGTGATGATGAGCTTTTTCTTCATGTTTATTGACTGCATAAATGTCTTCTTTTGAGAAGTGTCTGTTCATATCCTTTGCCCACTTTTTGATGTGGTTGTTTGTTTTTTTTCTTGTAAATTGGTTTAAGTTTCTTGTAGATTCTGGATATTAGCCCTTTGTAAGATGGGTAGATTGCAAAAATTTTCTCCCATTCTGTAGGTTGCCTGTTCATTCTGATGGTAGTTTCTTTTGCTGTGCAGAAGCTCTTTATTTTAATTAGGTTCCATTTGTCAATTTTGGCTTTTGTTGCCATTGCTTTTGGTGTTTTAAAGTCTTTGCCCATGCCTATGTCCCGAATGGTATTGCCTAGGTTTTCTTCTAGGGATTTATGGTTTTAGGTCTTACGTTTAAGTCTTTAATCCAGCTTGAGTTAAATTTTGTATAAGAAGTAAGGAAGGGGTCCAGTTTCAGTTTTCTGCATACGGCTAGCCAGTTTTTCCAACATTACTTATTAAATAGGGAATCATTTCCCCATTGCTTGTTTTTGTCAGGTTTGTCAAAGATCAGGATGGTTATAGATGTGTGGCATTATTTCTGAGGCCTCTGTTCTGTTCCATTGGTCTATATGTCTGTTTTGGTACCAGTACCATGCTATTTTGGTTACTGTAGCCTTGTAGTATAGTTTGAAGTCAGGTAGCATGATGCCTCCAGCTTTGTTCTTCTTGCTTAGGATTGTCTTGGCTATACAGGCTGTTTTTTGGTTCTATATGAAATTTAAAGTAGTTTTTTCTAATTCTGTGAAGACTGACAATGGTAGCTTGGTGTGGGATAGCATTGAATCTATGCATTACTTTAGGCAGTATGGCCATTTTCACAATATTGATTCTTCCTATCCAGGAGCATGGACTGTTTTTCCATTTGTTTGTGTCCTCTGTTATTTCCTTGTGCAGTGGTTTGTAGTTCTCCTTGAAGAGGTCCTTCGCATCCCTTGTAAGTTGGATTCCTAGGTATTTTATTCTCTTTGTAGCAATTGTGAATGGGAGTTCACTCATGATTTGGCTCTCTGCTTGTTTATTATTGGCATATGGGAATGCTTGTGATTTTTGCACATTGATTTTGTATCCTGAGACTTTGCTGAAGTTGCTTATCAGCTTAAGGAGATTTTGGGCTGAGATGATGGGGTTTTCTAAACATACAATCATGTCATCTGCAAGCAGAGACAATTTGACTTCCTCTCATCCTATTTGAATACCCTTTATTTATTTCTCTCGCCTGATTGCCCTAGCCAGAACATCCAACACTATGTTGAATAGGAGTAGTGAGAGAGGGCATTCTTGTCTGTGCCGGTTTTCAAAGGGAATGCTTTCAGCTTTTGCCCATTCAGTATGATATTGGCTGTGGGTTTGTCATAAATAGCTCTTATTATTTTGAGATATGTTCCATTGATACCTAGTTTATTGAGAGTTTTTATCATGAAGGGGTTTTGAATTTTATTGAAGGCCTTTTCTGTATCTATTGAGATAATCATGTGATTTTTGTCATTGGTTCTGTTTATGTGGTGGATTATTTTTATTGATTTTCATATGTTGAACCAGCCTTGCATCCCAGGGATGATGCCAACTTGATCATGGCGGATAAGCTTTTTGATGTACTGCTGGATGCGTTTCCCAGTATTTTACTGAGTATTTTCGCATTGATGTTAATCAGGGATATTGCCCTGAGTTTCTTTTTTTACTATGTCTTTGCCAGGTTTTGGTATCAGGATGATGCTGGCCTCATAAAATGAGTTAGGGAGGAGTTCCTCTTTTTCTACTGTTTGGAATAGTTTCAGAAAAAATGATACCAGGTCCCTTTTATATCTCTGGGAGAATTTGGCTCTGAATCCACCTGTCCCTGGGCTTTTTTTTTTTTTTTATTGGTTGGCTATTAATTATTGCCTCAATTTCAGAACTTGCTACTGGTCTATTCAGGGATTCAACTTCTTCCTGGTTTATACTTGGGAGGGTGTATGTGACCAGGAATTTATCCATTTCTTCTGGATTTTCTAGTTTATTTATATAGCGGTGTTTATAGTCTTCTCTGATGGTAGTTTGTATTTCTGTGGGATCAGTGGTGATACCTCCTTTATCATCTTTTATTGTGTCCATTTGATTCTTCTCCGTTTTCTTCTTTATTAGTGTGACTAGAGGTCTATCTATTTTGTTGATTTTTTCAAAAAACCAGCTCCTGGATTCCTTTTTTTTTTTTTGAGATGGAGTCTCCATCTGTTGCCCAGGCTGGAGTGCAGTTGTGCGATCTCGGCTCACTGCAACCTCCACCTCCCAAGTAGCTCGGACTACAGGCACATGCCACCACACCTGGCTAATTTTTGTATTTTTAATACAGACAGTGTTTCACCACATTAGCCAGTATGGTCTTGATCTCCTGACCTTGTGACCCATATGCCTCTCAGCCTCCTAACGTGCTGGGATTACAGGCATGAGCCACTGTGCCCAGCCGGATTCATTGTTTTTTTTTGAAGGGTTTTTCCTGTCTCTATCTCTTTCATTTCTGCTCTGATCTCAGTTATTTCTTGTCTTCTAGTATGTTTTGAATTTGTTTGCTCTTGCTTCTCTTGTTCTTTTAATTGTGATGTTAGGGTGTCGATTTTAGATCTTTCCCGCTTTCTCCTGTGGGCATTTAGTGCTATAAATTTTCCTCTAAACACTGCTTTAGCGATGTCCCAGAAATTCTGGTATGTTGTGTCTTTATTCTCATTGGTTTCATAGAACTTATTTATTTCTGCCTTAATTTTATTGGTTACCCAGTAGTCATTCAGGAGCAGGTAGTTCAGTTTCCATGAAGTTGTGCAGTTTTAAGTGAGCTTCTTAATCCTGAATTCTAATTTGATTGCACTGTGGTCTGAGAGACTGTTTGTTATGATTTCCATTCTTTTGCATTTGCTGAGGAGTGATTTACTTCCAATTATGTGGTCAATTTTAGAATAAGTGTGATGTGGTGCTGAGAAGAATGTATATTCTGTTGATATGGGGTGGAGAGTTCTGTAGATGTCTATTAGGTCAGCTTGGTCCAGAATTGAGTTCAAGTTCTGAATATCCTTGTTAATTTTCTGTCTTGTTCATCTGTCTAATATTGACAGTGGGGTGTTAAAGTCTCCCATGATTATTGTGTGGGAGTCCAAGTCTCTTTGTAGGTGTCTAAGAACTTGTTTTATGCATCTTGGTACTCCTGTATTGGGTGCATATATATTTAGGATAGTTAGCTCTTCTTGTTGCATTGATCCCTTTATCATTTTGTAATGCCCTTCTTTGTCTTTTTTTATTTTTGTTGGTTTACAATCTGTTTTATAAGAGACTAGGATTGCAACCCCTGCTTTTTTTTTTTTTTTTTTTTTTTTTGCTGTCCATTTGTTTTGGTAAATTTCCTTCGTATTTTTATTTTGAGTCTGTGTGTGTCTTTGCATGTGAGATGGGTCTCCCGAATACAGCACACCAATGGGTCTTGACTCTTTTTCCAATTTGCCAGTCTACGTCTTTTAATTGGGGCATTTAGCCCATTTACATTTAAGGTTAGTTTTGCTATGTGTGATTTGATCCTCTCATTATGATGCTACTTGGTTATTTTGTCTGTTATTTGATGCAGTTTCTTCATAGTGTCGATGGTCTTTACAATTTGGTTTGTTTTTTCAGTGGCTGGTACTGATTGTTCCTTTCCATATTTAGTGCTTCCTTCAGAAGCTCTTGTATGGCAGGCCTGGTGGTGACAAAATCTCTCATCATTTGCTTGTCTGTAAAGGATTTTATTTCTTCTTCTGTTATGAAGCTTAGCTTGGCTGGATATGAAATTCTGGGTTGAAAATTCTTTTCTTTAAGAATGTTGAATATTGACTCCCATTGTCTTCTGGCTTGTAGGGTTTCTGCCGAGAGACCCACTGTTAGTCTGATGGGCTTCTGTTTGTGGGTAGCCGGTCTTTGTCTCTGGCTCTCCTTAACATTTTTTCCTTCATTTCAACCTTGGTGAATCTGACAATTACATGTCTTGGGGTTGCTCTTCTCAGGGATTATTTTAGTGGTGTTCTCTCTATTTCCTGAATTTGAATGTTGGCCTGTCTTGCTAGGTTGGGGAATTTTCCCTGGGTAATATCCTGAAGAGTGTTTTCCAACTTGGTTCCATTCTCCTCGTCACTTTCAGGTACTCCAATCAAACGTGTGTTTGGTCTTTTCACATAGTCCCATATTTCTTGCAGACTTTGTTTGTTCCTTTTCATTCTTTTTTCTCTAATCTTGTCTTAATACTTTATTTCATTAAGTTGATCTTCAATCTTTGATATCCTTTCTTCCACTTGATCAATTTGGCTATTGATACTTGCGTATGCTTCATGAAGTTCTCATGCTGTATGTTTCAGCTCCATCAGGTTATTTATGTTCTTCTCTAAACTGATTATTCTAATTAGCAATTCCTCTAACTTTTTTCAAGGTTCTTAGTCCTTGCATTGGGTTAGAACATGCTCCTTTAACTCAGAGGAGTTTGTTATTACTCACCTTCTGAAGCCTACTTCTGTCAAGTCATAAAACTCATTCTCTGTCCAGTTTTGTTCCCTTGATGATGCGGAGCTGTGATCCTTTGAAGGAGAAGAAGTGTTGTGGTTTTTGGAATTTTCAGCATTTTTGCGCTGGTTTTTCTTCACCTTTGTGGATTTATCTACCTTTGGTCTTTGATGTTGGTGACTTTTGGATGGGGTTTCTGTGTGGACGTCCTTTTTGTTGATGTTGATGCTATTCTTTTCTGTTTGTTAGTTTTCCTTTTAAAAGTCAAGCCCCTCTGTTGCAGGTCTGCTTGGCTTTTGCTGGAGTCCACTCCAGACACTGTTTGCATGGGTATCACCAGCAGAAGCTACAGAACAGCAGATTGCTGCCTATTCCTTCCTCTGGAAGCTTTGTCCCAGAGGGGCACCTGCCAGATGCCAGCCAGAGCTCTCCTGTGTGAGGTGTCTGTGTACACCTGCTGATAAGTGTCTCCCTGTCAGGAGGCATGGGGGTCAGGGACCCACTTGAGGAGGCAGTCTGTCTCTTAGCAGAACTTGAGTGCTGTTCTGGGAAATTCACTGCTCCCTTCAGAGTCAGCAGGCAGGGACGTTTAAGTCTGCTGAAGCTGTGTCCACAGCCACCCTTTCCCCCAGGTGCTCTGTCCCAGGGAAATGAGAGTTTTTTTCTATAAGCCCTTGAGTGGGGCTGCTGCCTTTCTTTCAGAGATGCCCTGCCCAGAGAGGAGGAATCTAGAGAGGCAGTCTGGCTACAACGTTTTTGCTGAGCTGTGGTGGGCTCTGCCCAGTTCAAATTTCCCAGTGGCTGTGTTTACACTGTGAAGGGAATACCACCTACTGAAACCTCAGTAATGGTGGACACCCCTTCCCCCACCAAGCTGGAGCATCCCAGGTCAAATTCAGAATGCTGTGCTAGAATTTCAAGCCAGTGGATCTTAGCTTGCTGGGTCTGTGGGGGTAGGATCTGCTGAGCTAGACTACTTGGCTCCCTGCCTTCAGCCCCCTTTCCTGTGGAATGAATGCTTCTGTCTCGCTGGTGTTCCAGGTGCCACTGGGGTATGAAAAAAAAAAAAACTCCTGCAGCTAGTTTGGTGTCTGCCCAGATGGCTGCCAAGTTTTGTGCTTAAAACCCAGGGCCCTGGTGGTGTAGGCACTGGAGGAAATCTCCTGGTCTGAGGGTTGTGAAGACTGTGGGAAAAGTGTAGTACCTGGGTACTCACGCACCGTTTCTCACACAACAGTCCCTCACAGCTTCCCTTGGCTAGGGGAGGGAGTTCCCCGACCCCTTGTGCTTCCCAGGTTAGGCAACGCCCCACACTGCTTTGTCTTGCCCTTCGATGGCTGCACCCACTGTCTAACCCGTCCTAGTGAGGTGAGCCAGGTACCTCAATTGGAAATGCAGAAATCACCCACCTTGTGCATTGATCTCCCTGGGAGCTGCAGACTGGAGCTGTTCCTATTTGGCCATCTTGCCAGCCACCTCCTTTAAGCATTTCTTATAGGAAAGGTCTACTGTTGACAAACTGAATTTTTTTTAAAGCTAGAAATGTCTTAATTTCACCTTCAGTTTTGAAGGATATTTTTTGTCAGATATAGAATTCTTGGCTGGCCTTTTTTTTTTTTTTCTCTCAGCACTTTAAATATATCATTCCATTGCCTCTGACTTCTATGGTTTCTGTTGAGAAATTTGTTTCATGTTCCTGAGAAGGCACTTTTTTTCTTGCTGGTTTCAATGTTTCCTCTTTGTTTCAAAAATTTGATTATATCTCAGTATGGTTCTTTTTGAGTTCAGCATGCTTGGAATTTGTTGAGCATCTCAGAAGCGTAGATTTATATTTCCCATAAAATGTGGGCAGTGTTCTACCATTATTTCTTCAAATAAGCTATCTCCTTTTCTCTCTTTCTTTGTGTCTCTTCATCTTGCTCTCTTTGTTTTGCTCCTCTGAGACTCTGAAAATATGTATGTTAGTCTGCTTGATAGTGCACCACAGCCCCCCTTATACTTTGTTTACTTTTATTCATTATTTTTTCTTACTGCTCCTGGGATTGGGCACTTTCAATTGCCCTATCTTTAAGTTCACTTGTTCTTCTGCCTGCTCCAATTTGCTGTTGAAACCATCTAGTGAAATTTTCACTTCAGCCATTGTATTTTTTAAGTATCAAAAATTTTGTTTGGCTACTTTTTGTAATTTCTACCTCTTTGTTCGTAGTCCCTGCTTGTTTATACATCATTCTCCTGATTTTCTGTAGTTCTTTGTTCCTGGTTCACTCAGTTTTTTGATTACATTTAAGAGAGTTAATTTGAAGTCTTTGTCTAGTATACCCAATGTCTGGGCTTCCTTAGGGATAGTTTCTGTCAACTTCTTTCACTTTTGAGTGAATGGGCCAAACTTTCCAGTTTGTTTGTATGCTTTACAATATTAAATTGAGAACTGGACATTTTCACTATTGTAACATGCAACTCTGGAAATCAAATTCACCTCCTCCTTGGGGATTGCTGTTATTGCTTGGTGAGGGATGGATGCTGTTGTTATTTGTTTAGAAAATTTTGCCTGCATTTTTTCCTGAACTATATTCCTTGTGATGTGTAGTCATTGAGTTCTCTGTTCCATTTTCTTGTGATCAGCCATTATTCTGATAGAAATTTCCTTAAATTCCTAGATTCAGTAGGAAAAGAAAAAAGAAAAAGAAAAACCCTGAGTAATTTCTCGTTAAATTATTTTGGGAAGAGGGAATTCAGGATGGCTAACTAGAGGCATCCAGCACTTACCTCGTCCACAAGGAATAACCAAAATAGCAAGCAGATAATCACACTTCCAAGAAAGCATCTAAGAGAGAACACTGGAATTCAACAGAGAAATTACAGGAAACACCCAAGGCATGGACGGAGAAGGAAGCAAAGTAGCCCAGCTCAGCCTTTGATCAGCTGGGATCCCAGAGTCACTCACCAGTGTGGGGAATGGATAAATGAGAGATACCCAGTGGTCTACATTTCCACCATGGACTCCTGCAACCCTAGCCATTGGAGAGCTCCTCAAGCATTGCTGACCTTGGGACTAGCAGAGAGAGCTGCATAGATATCACATAATAACATTGCTCCAGAGAGGGAGTTCACACTGTGCTCCAGACCATCTTCTGAGTCCTAGCAGCTGCAGCACAATGCCACTTTGAGAGCCTAGTCCCCACTTGCCTGCATTCTGCCTTGGGGCCCAGCAGCCCCTGCATCTACACATCCTTGAAGCCACACTGACATCCTCCTTTGTCTACCTGGAGGTCTGCAGCAGTGTAACACTGGTTGGACTCAGGGGAGCAGTAGGGTTCCCAGCACTCTAGCACACATAATGTATTGTGTCCTGGAAAATGCGTGGTGCAATGCATTGGGAAAGCTCTCCTTGGGACAAACATGCACTTATCAGAGCCCAAAATCCACTTGCCTGGGGCTATTGCCACTGACAGGAACCCAGTCCTCACCAACAATAGAGCTTCAGTGCCCTTGCACATGCTCTGAGGAAAAGCTCTCTCAGCCTACAACTGCTGACACTGCTGCTGCTGGGGGCAAAGGTGTGCACAACTGGCAGCAACCCCTTTACCCCCAGCAGCAGGGATGCTGCACACTGGCACGCACACTGAGGGCTGCTCTCCCTGCAGCTACCATTGCCACCATCAAGGCTACCATTATTGGGGGCTGAAGCATGCCCTCCCCAGAGCCTGACTGCTGCTTGCCTGTGGCTGCTGCCACTGGTAGCAACCCTGTTTCCCCAGCAGCAAGGCCATAGTGCACTTGCCTGTGCCCTGAGGTGGGGTCTCCTTGTTCACTGCAGCTGTTGCTACTGCCACCCAAGCATTCCACTGGGGAACCTCGAAATAAGACCATCTTGCCTACCACAGCCTGTGCATGTGTGCACCACTAGGGGACCCAAGGATGGGTCTATCTGGTCTGGCACTCCCCCTGTTCCTCAGTGACTAAACACAATTTCCAGGAATCTGGATATTGCTCCCGCCATCCACCATTGTTGGCATCTGTGCACTTCTCCTGGGAGCTTGAGGATGGCTCCACTTAGGCTACTGCTACCATTATAGCCGGTATCCATCTACATCTACCACCTGGAGGTCTTAGTACTGACACACTTAGCCTGTCAAAGCAATTCTAACACAAGCCTGTGCCCATTGGTTGTCCTACCACTGCTACAGCCATCACTCACATCACACATGCTGCCCAGGGGCCAAAAGACCCACCTACCTGCCCAGCTATTGTTGCCACTACCAGCACCTGAGCAGCCACCTGGAGGCCCACGAATTGGCTTACTTGGACCCAGTAACATTGGTGCTTGTGTACGCCACCGAGAGGCCCAAGGACAGGCATGCTTAGCATGCTGCCACCACCACTTGGACTCAAGGACAAGTTCACCTGGAGTCCTTATGCCAACAAAACTGCACTACGGACTACACTGACAACCATAGCCTGTGCCACTGAGGAAGTCACAGACACTACTGATGCTGTCTAGAGCCAAAGAAATCATACAACGACCAAACTACTGCGTATACTCAGAATCAAAGCTAAAGTGTCCTACCCAACCAAAACCATAGATACATCTTCAAAAAAACATCATTCCCTAAAAAAGCAAATTCAAAAAATCAGAAGAAGCAACTGTTACACTGGATGGCAGATACTAACATAAGAGCACAAGAAATATGAAAAAGCAAGGGCATATGACACTCCCAAGGCAGAACGTTGGATACCCTTTGCAACTTTGGGCTTGTGTCTCATCCATGATAGATGGTAGCTGATGTAGATGACCTGGCAGTAAAGGACCCTCTTCCCTATACTCAGCATGTTGAGTAGAGCAGCAAGTACTAGAAACAATTCATCATGTTGTCTCTTGTGGGAACCAAGGAACTGTTCATGGCCAGAGGTGGTGAGCCTGGCAGACTTTAGCCACCCGACTTGCCTCAAGCTCTATCTGGTTACCCCAAATATTGAAGAGACTAATTATGACCAATATAATCCATTGTTAGACTGCCAGAGAGCTCAGAATACTCTTTGTGAGCCTCTGAGTTTGTCTATAAATGCTATAAAGGTTTTGTTTTGTTTTGTTTTAAAGCTAAACATTATATGAGTATATATGATCTCACCTCATGGATAAGTAACCCAAAAGCCTGTAAAGAGCAGATTTTGGATCCAGATTTGTTTGACTTTAAAACCCTCATTTGTCACCTCTTTCTTGTGTTGCCTCTATTTTTATGAGAAGAGGTATCAAGTGATCAAGCAGGACTTCTTTGAGGAGTAGTATAGGGTTCATGCTGAGTTTTGAAGGCCTAGCAGAATTCGGAGAAGCAGAGAACAGGGGAGCGTGCATCTCATGTAAGGAAAACAGCAGATGTTTCCATAGACACTGAAATGGTTTTCTAAAAACAAATTTGGGGAGAACAGTGAAGATTGTGTGTAATCGTTCTCCATTTGAGTGGTTGTCTTTAGCTGATGTCTTATGACTTTTTTAAAAGTATGATTTTAAATTTTTGTGGGTACATAGTAGGTGTATATATTTATGGGATACATGAAATGTTTAGATACAGGCATGCAATGTGTAATAATCACATGATGGAAAATGAGGTATCTATCACCTCAAGCATTTATCCTTTGTGTTACAGGCAATCTAATTATAGTCTTTTAGTTATTTTAAAATGTACAATTAAATTATTATTGACTGTAGTCATCCTATTGTGCTATCAAACACTAGGGCATATTAATTCATTCTATTTTTGTACCCCATAACCATCCCCACCTTCCCAGCCTCTGGTAACCATCACTCTACTCTCTATCTCCATGGGTTCAACTGCTTTGATTTTCAGATCACACAAATAAGTGAGAACATGTGATGTTTGTCTTTCTGTGCCTGGCTTATTTCACTTAACAGTTGCATCCAAGTTGCAGATGACTTAATCTCATTCTTTTTTATGCCTAAATAGTACTCCATTGTGTATAAGTATCACATTTTCTTTATCCATTCATCTGTTGATGGCCAATTAGATTGCTTCCAAATCTTGGCTATGGTGAACACAGCCACAACAAACATGAGAATGCAGATATCCTTTTGATATACTGATTTCTTTCTTTTGGGTATGTAACTAGCAATGAAATTGCCGGATCATATGGTAGCTCTATTTTTAACTTTTAGTTTTTGAAGAACCCCCAAACTGTTCTCCATAGTGATTGCACTAATTTTCATTTCCACCAACAGTGTATGAGGATTCCTTTTTCTGCACTTCCTTGTCAGCATTTGTTATTGCCTGTCTTTTGCATAAAACCCATTATAACTAAGGTGAGATGATATCTCATTGTAGTTTTGATTTGCATTTCTCTGATGATCAGTGATGTTGAGCACCTCTTCCTATGTCTGTTTGCCATTTGTATGTCTACTTTTGAGAAATATCTATACAAATCTTTTGTCCATTTTTTAATTGGATTATTAGAATTTTTCCTATAGAGTTGTCTGAGCTCCTGATATATTCTGGTTATTAATCTTTTGTCAGATGGGTGGTTTGGAAATATTTTCTCCCATTCTGTGGGTTATCTCTTCACTTTGTGGATTATTTCCTTTGCTGTGCAGAAGCTTTTTATGCCATCCAATTTGTCCATTTTTGCTTTGGTTGCCTGTGGTTGTGGCATATTACTCAAGAAATCTTTGTCCAGACCAATGGCCTGGAGATTTTTCCCAATGTTTTCTTGTAGTAGTTTTATAGTTTGAGGTCTAAGATTTAATTCTTTAATCCATTTTGGTCGATTTTTGTATATGGTGAGAGATAAAAGTCTAGTTTCATTCTTCTGCATATGGATATCCAATTTTCCCAGTATCATTTATTGAAGAGACTGTCTTTTCTGCAGTGTGTGTTCCTGGCACATTTCTTGAAAATCTCATCACATTTTTTTTTCTCACCAAATTGATAAATCTGTTCCTTAAAGCAGAAAGTCCAAACAATGGAAGGAAAGTGCCCTGAGCAGAGTCAGACGACTAGATTCTTGGGCTGGCTGTGTGATCTTGGGCAATTTATACAACTTCTCTATTAAGGTATACCTTTGACACTCAAATTCAGTTCATCTGCTTCTCAGAGTAATGGACACCAAACAGCCCTAAAAATCCTTTTGTGGACTGACTGCTGGGGCTATTCATTGTATTGATTATAGTACATCAGCCTTGGATGTGTAAAATAAATTAAGCCAATCAGGGCTACAAATGACAGAAGTATAATTTTCTAAAAGTTATTCCATTATTTCAAAATCCTTACAAATAATCCTCCTCTTTTAAGTAGTTCATTAATTATTAAAAATAATGTTGGCTGGGCGCAGTGGCTCACATCTGTAATCCTAGTACTTTGGGAGGCCGAGGCAGGTGGATCACAAGGTCAGGAGATCGAGACCATCCTGGCTAACACGGTGAAACCCCGTCTCTACTAAAAAATTAGCCGGGCGTAGTGGCGGGTGCCTATAGTCCCAGCTACTCGGGAGGCTGAGGCAGGAGAATGGCGTGAACCTGGGAGTTGGAGCTGGCAGTGAGCTGGGGTCATGCCACTGCACTCTAGCCTGGGCAACAGAGTGAGACTCTGTCTCAAAAATAAAAAATAAAAAATAATAATGTTGGTGCACTTAGCCATTGAAGGGTCTATTACTAAAACCATTGTTTGTTTTAGAAACACCATTCTTAATCATTCAGGATATAAAATTTTATCTCAGAATTCTCTTGATGTGTACTTTTATGTAGTCTCCTAAGTGGGCTCCTCCTTACCAAGAATAGAGGCTTCTCGGATGGGGCAGTTTGAATAAATGACCGCTCTGAGAGTGTCTCCTTTTTTTGTTGTTTTTGCCCTCTGTCTCTAAAGATGGCAACTCTGACTGGCCAAAGAGGCTTTATTAGCAATAGGTTAAGGTACTGCAGTGAAAAGGCATGTAATTGCTGGAAGGCCTAAGCTTTGGGAAAGTTTCTGGCCACAGGAGGAAGTTCTGCTCCTTTTATTGCCTGTTTTAGGAGAATTGTTATGATCAGTGCAATGAATAGTTTTGGTTGTAGTAGAAAGCCAGGAAAAGTGTGTTCTAAATTAGAATCAGAT
The DNA here is from genome assembly GCF_000001405.40 of Homo sapiens. Taxonomy (NCBI): domain Eukaryota; kingdom Metazoa; phylum Chordata; class Mammalia; order Primates; family Hominidae; genus Homo; species Homo sapiens. The sequence goes on from NC_000012.12 coordinate 46,608,668, forward strand.
GACTAAGGGTGAGTGAGTACACATTTTTAACCCACTTTCTTCATTGAGATGGAGCAGATTATACATATGTGTTTTGGGAAATCAAAATAATTTTTAGAAATTGATCAAACCTCAGTATTTAAACAAGATCACATGACAGTTGTTGCTTAGAGAGCAAGAATGTAGCTAATTCTTGATTCCCTCAGAAATGAGTAGCTGCCTTTCTGGTTTCTGTGGATTATTCCTGCTATTGAATTCTCCCTGCCATCTCCTTATACTTGGGCTTTTGGGCCCTTTACTTGCTTATAACCTCCTCTACCAAAAAGGACTGGCAGCCAGGGCTGGGGAAAGGCAGGACAACAACCCCCAGTTAGAGATTTGGTTTCTAATGTTCAGTTCTGGCAAAAGTTCTGTGGTAAAGGAGACAATGCTTGTAGCCATAAAATGTGGTTTGGGGGCTGTCCATGTTGTCCTTCCTTCTCCTTCCTCCTTACCACACATAATCAGGAATTGGCTGTCTAGCAACTCTCCTACGCTCTAGGAAAAAGCAGTCTGAAGGTGGGTGGGGAGGAGGAACAGGACTGCTTTCCCCACTTTCTTGATGTAGATTCTATTCTTAAGTGTGCAGCGTTCTCTCCACTGAGCTATTATCAGAGGACCTGCAGTTTTCCTCTTCCATAATTGCAATGCAAACAACTGCAGGGAGAACACACTGAGATTTGGAGAGCTGTTGTTGTTTCATTGTAAAATGGTAGCTGTCTTAGGAGATGGGACCACAGTTTCCTGTACTAGCTTGTGGCTGAACTTTGGCTCCTTAGTTGTGAGTTATCACTTTATCTCTAACCAGAGGTGTTTTTCTATTCTCATTTTTGCCTATGAGAACTTCTTTTTTTAAAAATAGAAATTCATCTTCATGTCTATGGGTACATTTAAGTGACTTAGGGGTTTGTGAGTAGATTGGTCATTGAGTCACAACTTTGCAGATTGTCTTTAAATATAGTGATAATGTTGATGATGACAACCATAATGATAAAGGTAAATTAAATCTACAATCCAAGCTAACCTCTTTGGAGCCTCCCATTCACTGGAAGTTATTGAGCCTGAGCGGGAAGAGCATTGTTGGAGAGACTGTAGTGTATGGGGCCAGACAGCCTGCTTTGGCCACTAGCCATCTCTATGGCCTTGGACAAGTTATTTAACCTTACTAAACATCAATATTCTGGTTTGATAAATAGAGATAATAATAGTGAGGATATTTACAGTGGACATTTGCCATTCTTTTTGGTTGTCCAGTGTGTGGAGTCTCCCTCCTGTGACTCAGGAATGCGTTCACTATATAATGTCAGCTACTTGCTCTCCCAGCCTCCCTTGTAATTATGGTGTGGGCACCTGCCCCAGAGCTGCAGTTAACAAATGACTTCTCACAGTGGATGGTGGTAGAAGAACCAAGTTCAGGAGCAGCAGTGGTGGCAGGGATGGTAGTCCCAGTGGTTAGCACTACAGGATGCACTAGCCAATTCCCAGAGTAGCAGTGGTCACCTCACCAAAATGGTTCAATTGTGTGATTTTTAAGCGGTACTCCAGCCTGTAGAGCCTCAAAAGGGTTCTCCAGCCCTTCCATAATCCTATAAGCTGCCTGATATCCTCCTTAAATCAGCCCAAATTGGTTTCTATAGCTTGCACTGTAAGTCCCAATTGGTACAGTATCTCAGTGAGGTGAATATTAAATGAGATAATACAAGGAAAGTGTTTGGCACGGGGGCATAACACCTAGTAGATGCTCAAGGAATACTATGTTAATAATAGTAATAGTATTAATAGTAAGAGCAACCAGAGATTAGACTGAAAAGAGACCTAAGGTGTTGTCAGCTTTGTAGGAAGAGAGTTTAAAGGTTAACTGCTGGATGGAATCTATCAATGTAATTTTGGTTATCATAGAATTAACTAGACTTAGCCCAGCTTCCTTTTTTATTGATAAAGAAGGTTCAGGGGCATTGGGTAAATTACTCAGTGCCAATAGCTAGTGAATGACAAAGCCAAGCTGGAGGCTTTTGTACTGTCTGTTCTCTACTCCACTGCTCCATGCTATTTAAATTTAAAAACTTAACAAACACATGTGTATGCATGGATTAAGATCTGTGAGGAACTAAGAAAGAACTATGGTTGGTACCTGGAATTGTTCAACGCCATCTCTCCTGATCATCATTGAACCTGGTGAAGCAGAACACGCACATGCCCAATTAGAGAACAGAGTGAAAAAGCACAGTGCGTGCTGGGCCCTGTGGCTAAAAACCACAGACAGGACAGTCACTATGGCTAAAGTCAGGGAAGATCTCATGGGAAGGTGAGAATTGAAGCTGATGTGTGAAGTGACTTTTACCACCTAAATAAGGTGAGGTTTATTTTTTTTTTTTAAAAAGTGTTAGGGCAAAGCCAAAGTTAGACATTTACTGTGGGTTTACTTGTTTGTTTTTGAGAGGGCATCAGGGTAGAACTTTTAAAAATACCATGGAAATTATAGGATATAAATTATAATGTGTAAATTTTAAAAAGTCTTAAAATCTCTGCTGAAAACAGAGGGCTGTTTTGTTGGTTCTTAACCATCTTTGGAAATTTAAGCCATACTCAACATGTTTAAAAGATTAATAAAAATATATTTATGGCATTTTTATATCATTTGGTGGCATTTGTGTTTTGTTTCGTTTCGTTTTGTTTTGTTTTCGAGATAGAGTCTTGCTCTGTCACCCAGGCTGGAGTGCAGTGGCGCAATCTCAGCTAACTGCAGCCTCCGCCTCCTGGATTCAAGCGATTCTCCTGCCTCAGCTTCCTGAGTAGCTGGGATTACAGATGCCCGCCACCACATCTGGCTAATTTTTGTATTTTTAGTAGAGATGGGGATTTCTTCATGTTGGCCAGGATAGTCTCGAACTCCTGGCCTCAAGTGATCCACCTGCCTCAGCCTCCCAAAGTGCTGGGATTACAGGCATAAGCCACCACACCCAGACTCATTTGGTGTTTTTAAAGCACATTTATGGGCATGATCTTTGATCACAGAGACAACAATGAGAGTTGGGTAGAAATGTTTTAAATTTAAAGAGGGGAAAACTGAAGCTCGGAAGGCCTAAATGGCGTGTTTACATCATAAAGTTGGTTTATTTAACAAAATTAAGTTCAGATTTCTTGACTTTGGGTCTAAAATTCTATTTGCTAAGAAACAAAAAGTCCTTGTGTCAAAAAGCAACTTTAGAAACATTGCATATTTTCATAATAGCCTCCAACTTTAGTTTGCTTGGATATGCTTCTCTCAGTATCTGAAAGCTGCTTTACCAGTGAATATAAAGGAATTTCTACACCATTGCCAATTCCAGATTGTCTAAATTGTGTTCGTAAACTGCATCTATTGGGTTTCTGATTGCTGAGGACTCCAGGCTGTAGCGACGTCATGAACCGATCTTACAGGACTCAAGATGCTTGCAGATCCTGACAGTTCCTTCTGGAATAGACTGCCAAAGGTAGTCGAAGATTTTTGTTTTGTTGTTTTTTTTTTTTTTAAAGCTAGATAATCCCACATTTAGAATTTTTCTCAAGGGAGAACGTCGATGTATTCCAGTCTGTCAAAAGGTAAAGAAAGTTATTTTCTTCTTACTAGCTAAAGAAGATAATGAAAAGAGGAATCTGAAATTTGAAATCTCCAATCCATAGGTAGATGAAAAGAGGAATCTGAAATTTGAATCTCCAATCCATAGGTAGATGAAAAGAGGAATCTGAAATTTGAAATCTCCAATCCATAGGTAGAAAGTGCCAAAAATCACACTTCTGGGTTGTTTTGATTTATTTGTCCTAAGAAATTATCCTTCCTCCCCTCCCCTCCCCTTTCCTTCCTTCCTTCCTTCCTTCCTTCCTTCCTTCCATCTTCCTCCTTTTCTTTCTTTCTCTCTCTCTTTCACAAATAAGACTCTCCTTAGCTGGAAACTATATCCTGCTATGAAATTGTGTGTTCATCCAGTTTTCATTTTACTTGAATTTTCAGCAGCATTGAACACTATAGCCCCACTTCCGTAATCTACACCTTTTTGAAACACTATTTTCTTCTGGCTTTCAGCCTCTACTGGTCTTTCAACTAAATTTTCTCTCTGTTCTTCCTTAATTCCCTTTCAGACTCATGCTACTCTATATGACCATTAAATATCAGAATTCCCAAAAACCCATTCCTGGGCCCTGTCCTCTTCTTGCTCTATACTTCTTCCTCAGGCAAACTCTATGATCAGGATTGAATTCCTGCCCACATGGCCATGACTTGGAAATGTGTATCTCCAGTCCATGTCTTTCCTTTGAATACCAGGTCAAGCATGTCCTCATGTATCCACTTGGTCATCTCAAAAACATCTTAAATTCAACATGAACAAAACAAATTCACCATGTTCCCTCTACTAACCCTGACCAACACTCACTATTCCCAAATCTCAGTGAACATAACGGCATCCTGCAGTTGTGGCAACTTGGGCATCATTCTCTCTCAAATCCTGTATCCAATCCATCAGCAGCTGTGATATTTCCCATATTTCCCATCCACTTCTCTCCATTTGTGCTGTCACCACTGGTCCTGACTTCCATCGCTTTTCACCTGGATGGTTGCTGGAGCCTCCTCACAGCTCTGCCTACATCTTTTCAGCATTCTTCCACCATCACAGATAAACAGTGTAGTTCAAGTTGTGATGATATTGACATAAACAGCCTCCAATATACTAAATCCAGGCACCTAGTAAATATTTGTTGGCTGTTGTTTTTTTTCCTGTAAGGTGGGATGCTTATGGCCTGGGATCTGAAACAGGAAAAGATCATCATATGATCATTACCTCTAACTTCAGTCTCTTTCTTCCCCTCCTTCAAACCTCAGAGCAAAGGCCAGAGAAATCACGTTTTTGCAACAATATCAGGGACAAAATAAGCTGAAAGAAACAATGTTGAGAACAGGCTGAAATAATCAGTGATACATAATTTCAATCTTAGCTCAAAAGATTGGGGGAGGAGGAGAAGAACAATTATAGGAGTTTTCATCAAAAGGTACAAATACAAAGAAAGACACATACAATTATGGGTGTACTTATGCACACCAATAATACACACACACATACACACGCATACCCTGTACCCAGTGCTTTATCCATGCTGGTACATAGTAAATGAATGTTGAACAAATGAATGAAACAAAGCCAGCTCCTTATCAGGTTTGGATAAAATATTGGCTGCTTGTTTTTGTAGGTCACCAGAAAATGAACCGAAAACAAAATAAATTTACTAGTTAAGATGCATTCTTAAATAATTCTTTTTCAAAATTATTCTAAAAAATATTTATCCCCCAAAGTTCTTAGAGCTGAATAAGACTACATGTCTTTAATTCTTTTTTTTTTTTTTTTGAGATGGAGTCTTGCTCTGTCGTCACCCAGGCCGGAGTGCAGTGGCTCAGTGGCTAGATCTCAGCTCACTGCAAGATCCACCTCCTGGGTTCACGCCATTCTCCTGCCTCAGCCTCCCGAGTAGCTGGGACTACAGGTGCCTGCAACCATGCCTGGCTAATTTTTTGTATTTTTAGTAGAGACGGGGTTTCACCGTGTTAGCCAGGATGGTCTCAATCTCCTGACCTCGTGATCCACCCACCTTGGCCTCCCAACGTGCTGGAATTACAGGCGTGAGCCACCACGCCTGGCCCTTTCATTCTTTTACTTGACTCTATCCCATATTTATACCCTCTCTAATATTTCAGTTGTGATCCTCAGAGGTAAGTATCCCATTTTCCCACTTTATAGACTAGGAAACTGAGGCGTATGCAAAAGTAACTTCAGAAAAAGGTACATAATTGCACAACAGAATTTCCCTTAAAGTATGATCTTCCAATACTAGTAATGTGCCCTTGAATCAATAATTTTTTAAAAAATACACAGTAAACATTGAATTTTCTTAAGAGTTCAATTCTTCCTAAATTCATCTATAGATTCAATATATTCCAAATCAAACTGTCAGCATGCTAGTTTTTAGAAATTCAGAAGCTAATTATAAAATATATATGAAAATGCAAATTACTGAATAAATTTAAAAAGAAGAACAAAGTTGGTGGTCTTATGTTACCCAATTTCAAGACTTTATATAGTGTTAAATAATCAAGACTGTATGGTAGTAGTGGAAGGGTAGATATATAGATGCATGGAACAGAAAAACCCAGAAATAGACTCTTATATTTATGATCAGTTGATTTTTTACAAAGATGGAAATTTGATGGGGAAAAGAAAGTTTTCAACAAGTGATGGTGGAGCAACTGGATGTTTGTAAGGAAACAATGAATCTTGATTCTTACCTCAGATACAAAATGAATGTTGTCATTCATTCAAGAGATAATGAGTGTGCCAGGTGAGAGGGGGTCTTGTTGGATAATCTCCAACAAGTCTGCCCACTGGGAGGAATGCACATGGGGGTGGAACCTTGGGAAGTTTGTGCCATTTGCAGTGGGGAAGAGCCCGGCCCCTCCTCTTCCTGTGTGGAACCTGGGACTCAAGCTGCGTGTGGCAAGTACTCTAGCAGGGACTCTGGCCTTGCGAGAGTCCCTGTTTGCCCCTTTTCTTCCTTTTCACCTAATAAAACCCTGTCCTACTCATCATTCAAATTGTCTGTGAGCCTGAATTTTCATGGCCATGGGACAAAGAAGCTCATCTTTAGCTGAACTAAGGAAAGGTCCTGCAAAAGGATTTCCTATGTACCAGCAAAAATGGATGGTAAATGTAAATTTAAGAACCAAAATGATAAAAATTCTAGAGGAAAACATAGGAGAAAATTTCTATGTTCTTGAAGAAGGCAAAGAGTTCTTAAATGCCCAAATAATGAACCATTAAAGAAACAATGATAAAATGGACTTTGTCAAAATTAAAATCTTTTGCTCTTCAAAAGACACCTTTAGAAAAATAAAAAGGCAAGCCATGGAATTGGAGAAAATTGTTGCAATGTTACGTGTTAGTTATCTATTGCTCTATAAAAAATTACCCACAAAACTTAGAAACTTGAAACAACAAACAATTATTATCTCACAGTTTCTGTGGGCCAAAATCTGGGAAATGGCAATTAAGCTGTTGGCTGGGATAAAGTCATCTAAAGACTGAATTTGGGGAAGATCCGCTTTCAGGCCCTCTTATGTGGCTACTGGTAGAAGATCCAGAAGATTACCTCAGTTTCTGGACACATGAGCCTCCCATAAGGCCTCTTGTCTGTCCTCAGGACATGGCAGCTCCCTTCTCCTTGAGTGAGTAGCTGAAGAGAGAGAAGTGAGTGAGTGCACTAAAGATGGCAGCTGCGGTCATTTTATCATCTACTCTCTGGAGCAACATCCCATAACTCTGTGATGTTCTATTTGTTAGAAGTGAGTCCTTAAATCCAGCCCATATAAAAGGGAAGCTGAATTAAGCTCTACCTCTTGAGTGGATGAGTATCCAAGAATTTGTACACATAACTATAAAACCACCAGAGTATATAGCTTACAAAAAAGTTTGTATACAGAATAGACAGAGAACACTACAACTCTATAATAAGAAATTCTATGAAAATGGTAAAATCGTGGAATAGACACTTTCAAATGAAGATATTCTTACGTTTAATAAACACAAGAAAAGATGCTCAACATCATTGGTCATCAGAGAAATGTAAATGAAAACCACTATATGTCTACCAGAATGGTTAAAATTAAAAAGACTGAAAACTTTGACTAAATGCTGGCAAGCATGTCGAGGCATTGGAATGCAGCATTGCTGGTGGGAATGTAAAAGAGTGTAACCACTTTGGAAGATGTCAATTTTTTAAAAGTTGAACATACGCTTTACATACACCCTAACCATCCCACTCTGAGGTATTTACCCAAGAAAAATGAAAACATATGACAGCATAAAAGTTTGTATACATATATTCACAGTAATTTTATTTGCTGTAGCTATAAGAACTGGAAATAACCCAAATGTCTTTCAACAGGTAATGGAGAGACAAAACGTGGTGCAGCCATATAAGGGGGTACTACCCAGCAATACAAAGGAATGAGCTACTAACACACAAAACATCATGAAGGAATCTCAAAATCATCATGCTAAGGGAAGGAATTCAGACACAAAGGAATCTATCTGAATATGAATTTAGTTATATAAAATTGTAGAACACACAAGCTAATCAATAGCAACCAATGCAGATCAGTTTTTGCCTTGGGGTGTGGGTAGAGGGAATAATAGAGTACAAGGGAACAGAGGGTATCTTTTGGGGATGGTAGAAATCTTCTGTTTTTTGACCATTGGAGTGGTTTCAAGAGTGTACACATCTCTCAAAACTTCTTAATTTGTGTACCTTAAATAAATGGAGTTTTCCGAATACAAATTATAATCCCAATAAAGTTGACTTTAAGCAGGGGAGTGGAGGAGAAACTAAAAGTCAATAATTTTTCATCTTTAAAACTGTTGAATGTCACTTTGTATGAGTACATTCACCATTTGTGTAACCTGTGAGTTGGTGAGGCATTTGAATGACCTGATTAGCAGTGTTTTTGTCTGTGAAATGTGTGTATTTGGCAGAGTTGTAATCAGGCAGGAGAGGGACAGAGGGTTTGTCATGATGCATTAGGACATCTCTGAGGTTCCTCCCGTTGTTGCATAATTCTGTCTTCTGTCCCTACGTGGACAAGAGCCCAGGCCTTGTAATTCAACAGACATGCATTCAATTCCAGCTCAGCTATTTCTAGCAGTGTGACCCTGGGCCAGTTACTAAGTTTCAGTTTCATCAGAGGTAAAATAAGGATAATATACTTACATAGAAATGAGCTGTCATGAGTGGAGCCAAGATGGCCAAATAAGAACAGCTCCGGTCTACAGCTCCCAGCGTGAGTGATGCAGAAGATGGGTGATTTCTGCATTTCCATCTGAGGTACCGGGTTCATCTCACTAGGGAGTGCCAGACAGTGGGCACAGGACAGTGGGTGCAGCGCACCATGCACGAGCCGAAGCAGGGTGAGGCATTGCCTCACTTGGGAAGCACAAGGGGTCAGGGAGTTCCCTTTCCTAGTCAAAGAAAGGGGTGACAGACGGCACCTGGAAAATCGGGTCACTCCCACCCCAATACTGCACTTTTCCAATGGGCTTAAACGGTGCACCAGGAGATTATATCCCGCACCTGGCTCAGAGGGTCCTACACCCATGGAGCCTCGCTGATTGCTAGCACAGCAGTCTGAGATCAAACTGAAAGGTGGCAGCGAGGCTGGGGGAGGGGCGCCCGCCATTGCCCGGGCTTGCTTAGGTAAACAAAGCAGGCGGGAAGCTCGAACTGGGGGGAGCCCACCACAGCTCAAGGAGACCTGCCTGCCTCTGTAGGCTCCACCTCTGGGGGCAGGGCACAGACAAACAAAAAGACAGCAGTAATCTCTGCAGACTTAAATGTCCCTTCCTGACAGCTTTGAAGAGAGCAGTGGTTCTCCCAGCACGCAGCTGGAGATCTGAGAATGGGCAGACTGCCTCCTCAAGTGGGTCCCTGACCCCTGACCCCCGAGCACCCTAACTGGGAGGCACCCCCCAGTAGGGGCAGACTGACACCTCACAAGGCCGTGTACTCCTCTGAGACAAAACTTCCAGAGGAATGATCAGACAGCAGCATTCGCGGTTCACGAAAATCCGCTGTTCTGCAGCCACTGCTGCTGGTAGCCAGGCAAACAGGGTCTGGAATGGACCTCTACCAAACTCCAACAGACTTGCAGCTGAGGGTCCTGTCTGTTAGAAGGAAAACTAACAAACAGAAAGGACATCCACACCAAAAACCCATCTGTACATCACCATCATCAAAGACCAAAAGTAGATAAAACCACAAAGATGGGGAAAAAACAGAGCAGAAAAACTGGAAACTCTAAAAAGCAGAGTGCCTCTCCTCCTCCAAAGGAACCCAGCTCCTCACCAGCAATGGAACAAAGCTGGACGGAGAATGACTTTGACGAATTGAGAGAAGAAGGCTTCAGATGATCAAACTACTCCGAGCTTCAGGAGGAAATTCAAACCAAAGGCAAAGAAGTTGAAAACTTTGAAAAAAATTTAGATGAATGTATAACTAGAATAACCAATACAGAGAAGTGCTTAAAGGAGCTGATGGAGCTGAAAGCCAAGGCTCGAGAACTACATGAAGAATGCAGAAGCCTCAGGAGCCAATGCAATCAACTGGAAGAAAGAGTATCAGTGACGGAAGATGAAATGAATGAAATGAAGCGAGAAGGGAAGTTTAGAGAAAAAAGAATAAAAAGAAACAAACAAAGCCTCCAAGAAAAATGGGACTATGTGAAAAGACCAAATCTACGTCTGATTGGTGTACCTGAAAGTGACGGAGAGAATGGAACCAAGTTGGAAAACACTTTGCAGGATATTATCCAGGAGAACTTCCGCAATCTAGCAAGGCAGGCCAACGTTCAGATTCAGGAAATACAGAGAACACCACAAAGATACTCCTCAAGAAGAGCAACTCCAAGACACATAATTATCAGATTCACCAAAGTTGAAATGAAGGAAAAAATGTTAAGGGCAGCCAGAGAGAAAGGTCGGGTTACCCTCAAAGGGAAGCCCATCAGACTAACAGCGGATCTCTTGGCAGAAACTCTACAAGCCAGAAGAGAGTGAGGGCCAATATTCAACATTCTTAAAGAAAAGAATTTTCAACCCAGAATTTCATATCCAGCCAAACTAAGCTTCATAAGTGAAGGAGAAATAAAATACTTTACAGACAAGCAAATGCTGAGAGATTTTGTCACCACCAGGCCTGCCCTAAAAGAGCTCCTGAAGGAAGCACTAAACATGGAAAGGAACAACCGGTACCAGCCACCGCAAAATCATGCCAAATTGTAAAGACCATCGAGGCTAGGAAGAAACTGCATCAACTAACGAGCAAAATAACCAGCTAACATCTTAATGACAGGATCAAATTCACACATAACAATATTAACTTTAAATGTAAATGGACTAAATGCTCCAATTAAAAGACACAGACTGGCAGATTGGATAAAGAGTCAAGACCCATCAATGTGCTGTATTCAGGAAACCCATCTCACGTGCAGAGACACACATAGGCTCAAAATAAAGGGATGGTGGAAGATCTACCAAGCAAATGGAAAACAAAAAAAGGCAGGGGTTGCAATCCTAGTCTCTGATAAAACAGACTTTAAACCAACAAAGATCAAAAGAGACAGAAGGCCATTACATAATGGTAAAGGGATCAATTCAACAAGGAGAGCTAACTATCCTAAATATATATGCACCCAATACAGGAGCACCCAGATTCATAAAGCAAGTCCTGAGTGACCTACAAAGAGACTTAGACTCCCACACAATAATAATGGGAGACTTTAACACCCCACTGTCAACATTAGACAGATCAGTGAGACAGAAAATTAACAAGGATACCCAGGAATTGAACTCAGCTCTGCACCAAGCGGACCTAATAGACATCTACAGAACTCTCCACCCCAAATCAACAGAATATACATTTTTTCAGCACCACACCACACCTATTCCAAAATTGACCACATAGTTGGAAGTAAAGCACTCCTCAGCAAATGTAAAAGAACAGAAATTATAACAAACTGTCTCTGAGACCACAGTGCAATCAAACTAGAACTCAGGATTAAGAAACTCATTCAAAACTGCTCAACTACATGGAAACTGCACAACCTGCTCCTGAATGACTACTGGGTACATAACAAAATGAAGGCAGAAATAAAGATGTTCTTTGAAATCAACAAGAACAGAGACACAACATACCAGAATCTCTGGGACACATTCAAAGCAGTGTGTAGAGGGAAATTTATAGCACTAAAAGCCCACAGGAGAAAGCAGGAAAGATCCAAAATTGACACCCTAACATCACAATTAAAACAACTAGAAAAACAAGAGCAAACACATTCAAAAGCTAGCGGAAGGCAAGAAATAACTAAAATCAGAGCAGAACTGAAGGAAATAGAGACACAAAAAACCCTTCAAAAAATTAATGAATCCAGGAGCTGCTTTTTTGAAAGGATCAACAAAGTTGGTAGACCGCTAGCAAGACTAATAAAGAAGAAAAGAGAGAAGAATCAAATGGACGCTATAAAACATGATAAAGGGGATATCACCACTGATCCCACAGAAATACAAACTACCATCAGAAAATACTACAAACACCTCTACACAAATAAACTAGAAAATCTAGAAGAAATGGATAAATTCCTCAACACATACACCCTCCCAAGACTAAACCAGGAAGAAGTTGAATCTCTGAATAGACCAATAACAGGCTCTGAAATTGTGGCAATAATCAATAGCTTACCAACCAAAAAGAGTCTAGGACCAGATGGATTCACGGCCGAATTCTACCAGAGGTACAAGGAGGAACTGGTACCATTCCTTCTGAAACTATTCCAATCAATAGAAAAAGAGGGAGTTCTCCCTAACTCATTTTATGAGGCCAGAATCATCCTGATACCAAAGCCTGGCAGAGACACAACCAAAAGAGAGAATTTTAGACCAATATCCTTAATGAACATTGATGCAAAAATCCTCAATAAAATACTGGCAAACCGAATCCAGCAGCACATCAAACAGCTTATCCACCATGATCAAGTGGGCTTCATCCCTGGGATGCAAGGCTGGTTCAATATACACAAATCAATAAATGTAATCCAGCATATAAACAGAACCAAAGACAAAAACCACATGATTATCTCAATAGATGCAGAAAAGGCCTTTGACAAAATTCAACAACCCTTCATGCTAAAAACTCTCAATGAATTAGGTATTGATGGGACGTATCTCAAAATCAGAAGAGCTATTTATGACAAACCCACAGCCAATATCATACTGAATGGGCAAAAACTGGAAGCATTCCCTTTGAAAACTGGCACAAGACAGGGATGCCCTCTCTCACCACTCCTATTCAACATAGTGTTGGAAGTTCTGGCCAGGGCAATTAGGCAGGAGAAGGAAATAGACTGTATTCAATTAGGAAAAGAGGAAGTCAAATTGTCCCTGTTTGCAGGTGACATGATTGTATATCTAGAAAACCCCATTGTTTCAGCCCCAAATCTCCTTAAGCTGATAAGCAACTGCAGCAAAGTCTTAGGATACAAAATCAATGTACAAAAATCACAAGCATTCTTATATACCAATAACAGATAAACAGAGATCCAAATCATGAGTGAATTCCCATTCACAATTGCTTCAAAGAGAATAAAATACCTAGGAATCCAACTTACAAGGGACATGAAGGACATCTTCAAGAAGAACTACAAACCACTGCTCAATGAAATAAAAGAGGATACAAACAAATGGAAGAACATTCCATGCTCACGGGTAGGAAGAATCAATATCATGAAAATGGCCATACTGCCCAAGGTAATTTATAGATTCAATGCCATCCCCATCCAGCTACCAATGACTTTCTTCACAGAATTGGAAAAAACTACTTTAAAGTTCATATGGAACCAAAAAAGAGCCTGCATTGCCAAGTCAATCTTAAACCAAAAGAACAAAGCTGGAGGCATCATGCTACCTGACTTCAAACTATGCTACAAGGCTACAGTAACCAAAACAGCATGGTACTGGTACCAAAACAGAGATACAGATCAATGGAACAGAACAGAGCCCTCAGAAATAACGCCGCATATCTACAACTATCTGATCTTTGACAAACCTGAGAAAAACAAGCAATGGGGAAAGGATTCCCTATTTAATAAATGGTGCTGGGAAAACTGGCTAGCCATATGTAGAAAGCTGAAACTGGATCCCTTCCTTACACCTTATACAAAAATGAATTCAAGATGGACTAAAGACTTAAACATTAGACCTAAAACCATAAAAACCCTAGAAGACAACCTAGGCATTACCATTCAGGAGATAGGCATGGGCAAGGACTTCATGTCCAAAACACCAAAAGCAATGGCAACAAAAGCCAGAATTGACAAATGGGATCTAATTCAACTAAAGAGCTTCTGCACAGCAAAACAAACTACCATCAGAGTGAACAGGCAACCTACAAAATGGGAGAAAATGTTTGCAACCTACTCATCTGACAAAGGGCTAACATCCAGAATCTACAATGAACTCAAACAAATTTACAAGAAAAAAACAAACAACCCCATCAAAAAGTGGGCAAAGGACATGAACAGACACTTCTCAAAAGAAGACATTTATGCAGCCAAAAAACACATGAAAAAATGCTCACCATCACTGTGCATCAGAGAAATGCAAATCAAAACCACAATGAGATACCATCTCACACCAGTTAGAATGGCAATCATTAAAAAGTCAGGAAACAACAGGTGCTGGAGAGGATGTGGAGAAATAGGAACACTTTTACACTGTTGGTGGGACTGTAAACTAGTTCAACCATTGTGGAAGTCAGTGTGGCGATTCTTCAGGGATCTAGAACTAGAAATACCATTTGACCCAGCCATCCCATTACTAGGTATATACCCAAAGGAGTATAAATCATGCTGCTATAAAGACACATGCACACGTATGTTTATTGCGGCACTATTCACAATAGCAAAGACTTGGAACCAACCCAAATGTCCAACAATGATAGACTGGATTAAGAAAATGTGGCACATATACACAATGGAATACTATGCAGCCATAAAAAATGATGAGTTCATGTCCTTTGTAGGGACATGGATGAAATTGGAAATCATCATTCTCAGTAAACTATCGCAAGAACAAAAAACCAAACACCGCATATTCTCACTCGTAGGTGGGAATTGAACAATGAGAACACATGGACACTGGAAGGGGAACATCACACTCTGGGGACTGTTGTGGGGTGGGGGGAGTGGGGAGGGATAGCTTTAGGAGATATACCTAATGCTAAATGACGAGTTAATGGGGGCAGCACACCAGCATGGCACATGTATATGTATGTAACTAACGTGCACATTGTGCAATATATCCTAAAACTTAAAGTATAATAATAATGAAATAAAATTTAAAAAAAAAGAAATGAGCTGTCATATAAAACACTCAGCACACAAAGAAGAAGATACAGAAAAGGTATTTGATAGGTATTCAGCTTTTCCCCTTCCTTTTCCAGAAAAATCTTAACACTACTATGTTTGAAATTATGGGTTCTAAGAAAATAACTAATTTTCAGGAGCATTAAAATATCAGCAAAATCTGTATCTTTTGCCTATATAGGCAAAATATAAGTGGGAAAGTGGTTAATAAAGACATGTAAAGGGGAAAGTAAAATAAGAATTAAATCTTTCCTTTGTTTTGAATCAGTACTTTAAATTCCAAAGACACAAGTTACTTCTTCAAAATGCATTGAAATTGCACTGTAAGTAATTTTTTATATATAATCACATTATTAACAGCATAATTTGAAAAATGGAAGCTATAGGACAGCAGAGGATTAGGCCCTTAATCCACAAAACTATATAAGGAAACCTAAGCACACACCCATTGCTAGGCTCAAAATAAAACAGAAGTTCAGTGACAGTTACACTATCCATTTAACCTCCATTGCTGTTTTCAGTTAAAAAAAATTGGTAAATATTATCTATGCCTTTCCTGCTATAAAGTAAATATGAACTGTGTGATGTTCATATTGGAAAAGCAAGTATTATATGTAATGTGAAAATGCAATAAAAATAATTTAAAAACAGAAAGTTATCTTCCTGCCTTATTTAAAAGAGAGAGTCAAGAAAAGAGGGTAATTTGCTTGTGTGTGTTTAAATTATTTTGTTTTTATTGCAGTCTGTTGACTATTTTACTCATGAATTTGAAATGCTAATTAGGAATGTTGTTTTTTCATCTCATCAATCAGAGCATGCAGTCAGAAGCTTGTTTTTGCTAGTTGGTGCAACAGCTTATTGTTGGTTCTAGGAAGACACACTTAAACTAAGTAGGAGTAAATGTTTCTTAAAGGCAAATTCAGCTTTCAACAAATAATGTAATTAAGGAAGTGAATATTGAATGCCTACTTTGTGCAGTTTGTGATTGACTTGATGTCTCCCTGTTTCTGCCCCATCTGCCACTTCTTTTTCATGTCATTTCCTTTTACACATTTTCTTTTCTAAATCGCATGCTTCCTGCTGGTAGGAGTTGGCACTTACATTGCCAATGGATACCTGCACCTGTGAATGCTCTAGACACCAGTGGCTTTCGGTATGGAGTGACAGCTGGCTAGAAGTCTGATTCCTTTTCATATAGAATATTTGAAATATATTGTGTTTCATGTCTTCTTATACCTCTCCTTCCCATCTATATAGACAGGTGAGAGATGCCAGAAATGAATGCAGGTAGAGTTTAGGACCCTGCCTAGGGCACACGAACAGGTAGTAAATACTTGTCATTTAAGGCTCCAACTGCTTAGAATTTCCTCTGCTTGTGAGCACAACCATAGTGGTGAATGCCAATGCACCAGTGGCCTCTTGTAGGTTTCAGGGAGCTGTTTCTCCCTGAGTTCAGAGCAGGAAAAAAAATGCATGTTCACACTAAACCACCCTTGCCCTTTATAGCTTTTCCAATAGAGTGAATGAAAGTTATATCCTGGCCCAATCACCTGAAACACTGAGAAGGAGTTCAGCAGCTTAGCTCCACAAAGATGTAAATTTCCCTTTCTGATGTTGAAAATGGAGTGGCAAGGCTAGAAATTTGAGCTTTGTGATGTTTGCCTCAACTTCTAAGAAACATGCAATGAGCTGGGCATGGTGGCTCATGCTTGTAATCCCAGCACTTTGGGAGGCCAAGGTGGGCAGATCACTTGAGGTCAGGAGTTGACGATCAGCCTGGGTGACATGGTAAGACCTCGTCTCTACAAAAACTACAAAAAAAAAAGCAGTCGGGCATGGTGGTGCACGCCTGTGGTCCCAGCTACTTGGGAGGCTGAGCTGGGAGGATGGCTTGAGCACAGAAGGCAGAGGTTGACGTGAGCTGAGGTCATGCCACCACTGCACTCCAACCTGGGCAACAGAGCAAGACCCTGTCTCAAAACAAAACAAGAAACATGCAATAAACTCTCTGTAGATAGAAAGCTGAATATCTTGTTTTGTCTGAGATGGCTTAGGTGTGGAATTGCCTAGAAATGAGAGAGGTAGACAAAGTGACCCCCTCAGATTCTCCTAGGAGCCTTTTATTTATGAGTCCTTGGCAGGACATTCTAGCTTCTCTCCAAATTGTCTCCATACTGTCTGCCCAAATTTGTGAATCTGGTTCTCCCATGTAAAATTTCTATTTCTGTCAACTGATATTTTAATAATAGCTCTTCTTCAATCCCTTTGTCCTCTATATGATTTATTTATTTCTTCAACAAATATTTACTGGGTACTTACTCTGTGCCAGGCACCGTTCTAGGTTTTGGGAATCCAGTAATAAACAAAACAAACAAAATTTCCTGCTTTAGGGAGTTTACATTCTAGTGGAAGAAAGAAAAAATAACAAAGATAAATAATTAAAATATAAAGTAGATTAGGTAGTGACAAATACTGAAGAGAAAATCTAAAGTATTTAGATTTTAGGAAGAGGTAATATGAAATTTTAGGGGGTGGCAAGGATTGACATTTTGGATAAGGTAGCCACTGAGAGGGTGGTGTTGAGTAAAGACCTGGAGAAAGTGAGGGGTGAGCTATATGCATATCTAGGGGGAAGCATCTCAGTCAAGGGAACAGCAAGTGCAAAGTCCCTGCAGTGAGGACATACCGTTTTGTCTCTGTGCCTTTGCCCTCTTCACACTCCTGTCGTGTTATACCCTTCTCTTCCAAATTGCACTTCCTTCATTGTCTCTTCTGTGAAGACTTCAAGGTCTCTTCTCTCACTTTCTCTCTCTCTCCCTCCCTCCCTCATTTTGTGTTTTTTTTTTTTTCATAAGGGCTTCGTTATTCACTATGGGATCTCTTCCCACTCCAGATTCTTGAAGTACGCTTTTGATTTGTACTGATCCTGTAAGGCTTAGGATAGACTCTCTTCTTAATTTTGTCATCTGTTTGTATTTATGCCTGTATCTGTCTAATCAACTATGTGTAACCCATGAAGGACTGGGGCCATGTGCATCCTGAAAAGGACAACAGAGAGCAGGGGTTCAACATGTTTCTTGATATCATTGCTGCTTTTAAAGATATTTTTACCTCACATTTAGAATTATGGTTGTGTTATATTTGGTAAATAGCCTCTTTTAGAGTTTTCAGGAGTGTGTCCAAAGGTCTTAGATCATTCCCTTGATGATGCCTCCCTCTTTTATTATCTGGCAAATTTTAAACAATGATTGGAAGTGAAAATCTAGAAAAGTTCACCCCGGGAACAATTTTGAGCTGACTGTGACTTTCTAGAGCAATTCTTTGAAAAAAATTCTGAAGCTTTTTAATATGGAAGGTTTTTGGTAAATTAGTATGCCACTAGGATTTGTTTTTCAGTTTAACATTTTACTCTTCCTTGATATATTGATATCTATTTCTCTCGCTCTCTCTCTCTCTATATATATATACACACAAACACACACATACATATATGCATATATTTTTAATATATTTTATATGTGTGTATTATATATGTTATGACATAATAGGTATTATAACAAATTATGTTGGAATAAATAAATAATAGTGGCATAATAGTATTAAAATTAGCCACAAACAGACTGAACTCAATCATCAGGCAAGGACTGTTAGATGCACTATTAAACCATGCAAGCTACTATAATGAAATACTAGATGTATTTTTGATAGTTTCATATTATTCTTAGTGAAAGAAAATTTAAGTTTAAGAAAAAATCTTTTTTAGTTTAAGACATAGATGTTTGATGGTTAAAGATTCAAGTCTGGGCTTCTCATATCTTCAGATAAGTTTCAGATCTTTTCTTTCATGACAGCCATTGCTGCCACTTATTCCTCCATGTGGCCTTTGTGAATGGTCATTTTTGGGGTGAGCCCTCTCATCACTGCAGCTTTGAGCTAAACATCCATCAGGAGAACCCCTTTCCACAGCCATGATAGGAAAATCCTATTGGGACTTTCAAAATTTTGTGCCAGTTACTAAAAAAAAATCTTTGGATAGGTAAAGATATTTTCCGCTAAATGATTCCTAAGATTGGATGCCCAATTGAAGCTATCTGAGTGATGTCATGTGAGGAAATGAAGCATATCAAGTTCAACCATGTGCTTAAGACTGCTTCATTGTTTCTACATTGGATTCCTGGAGCATTATCTCACACCAACTAGTATCACTTCATTACTACTTCATTTGTCTCTCTAGTTATCCTTTAACCTTGTCTTTTGCCTTCCCTGCAGTGAGAGGGTGCACTGGTCTTATTAACTTCATTCATTCATTTAACCAATATTTATTTGCACTTACGATATGCACTGGGGCTATGATGAAGATGAAATGACAGTTTCTGCTCTCGAAGACTCATAGGTGCAGGAGAGATAGGCAGGTAATTCCAATGCAATATCAGGGCCACTGTGATGAAGGAGATATGACTAATGAAAGCAGAAAGAAAAGAATGCTGTATGCCTGTATAGGGGGCACCCAGGGAAGGCTTCCCCAGAGAAAGCAGTGGTTAGCCAAAACTAAAAGTAACTAGGAATTTTCCAAGTGAGAGAAACTTTGGATGATAGGAAATTTCCTTCTAGGAATTATGGGCTGGCTTATTCAAGGAATAGTGAGGTGTTTGGGATGGCTGAGGCTTAGCATGTGGGAAAGAATGGTAGAAGATGAAGCAGGATGAGTGGGCAGTTACTCCTTTTTAATGGCAAAGTATGTTTAGATTTTATCTTACAGGGAACATGAGTAATGGAAAAATTTTAAGAAGGATAATGGCAAGAACATATTTGCATATGAGAGATAATTATTTTAGCATTTGGAAGATGGATTTTTAGGAAAGGGTGAGACTAGAGGCCAGACAATTAATAGATGACCGATAATAGTAAGTGCTGCCGCCAGACTAAAATCCAGATATCCTGGCTCCAAATCAGGAGGTCTCAACCACTATCTAGGTTGCCTTTCTTGTGCAGAGTTCATGAATAGAGTTCAGGAGGCAGTTTACTTGGGTTCAAAACCCTGTTCTGACCCTTAGGGGTGGTGAAATTATTGAAGGATCACTTAATCTTTCTTTGTTTCAGTCCCCTCATCTGTATAATGGGGAGAATACAAATATAGTACAACCTCATGATGTGTGTGTGTGTGTGTGAAGATTAAGTGGATAAATATTTATAAAGTTCTAATAATTGTGCTTGGCAAATAGCAACCACTGTGTAAATGTTGGCAGTGATGATGATGATGCTGGTGGTGATGGTGATGATGATAATGATGTAGGCAACTTTGTCCCACAGCAGGTCCTAATGGAGGGAACTCAGCGGGATGTCCATTCCTGGAAACTGTGAGAACTGATCAGTTACTCTGGATAGGAAAGAGATAGGAATTCTCAAATTCTCACTATGACCTTCACAGTCTATTGGCAGTGAGGTCTTCAGTGAGTTTCCAGATCTAGGTCCACCCATATCTAGAAGCAAGTTGAGCTTTCTCAAAAGGCAATACAAATGATTACTGACTATCTCCTGTTGCAGGGTTCTCAAACATTGGAATGCATCAAAAACATCTGAAGAGTTTGTTTAAACATAGATTTCTGCATTCCAACTCCAGAATTTGTGATTCAATAGATCCAGAGTAGGATCCAAGAATTTGCTCTTCTAACACATTTGAGGGTGATGCTGATGCTGCTGGTCCTGTCTGGGGTCCACACTTGGAGAACTCCTGCCCTGTTATGTGCTCTACTACCTTGCATTAAAGAAAATGAATAAGACTCAGTGTTCCTGGCTTCCTGCTTCCTCCCAAACTGTCTGCTGAGCAACCCCTGATTTCCTCACTGTTTCAGAAGCACTGGCTCTGTAGGCTCCCAGGATGTGTGTGCTGCATGGATCTCTTCTCATCTGTATAACCTCATCCGTGTAACTAAGAGATTGAACCAAATCCCCAGGCCCACTGAATAAGAAATCAGAGTTAAGGCCCCCATGGGAGAGGTGGGTACCTCAGAAGCCAATCTCGTGTGATCCTGCCTTTCATTTCTCTATTGCCCCACTGGAATCATTTGTTGTTGAAGTGTCTATGGCTCTGTGTTTGTGAAGAAAACAGGCAACTCTCTCTGACATTTTCAGCTGTGATTTTGATTTTCCATTCCATAGTTAACTAGTTTAAAGGAGCACAAACCAAAGGTTGTCACCATCGCTAATCTTTGCAATGATTAACTAATTAACATAGTGATTGCAAAATGAACTATTTTCACAACTCAGTGATTCTGATAACTGTGGTTAGCTTGGGTATCATGTGTGTGTGTACATATGTGTGTGTGTGTGTGTGTGAGAGAGAGAGAGCGAGAGAGAGAGATTCTCTAACTCTGATTTCCAGGATTGGCTCCTGTCACTTGGCACCCTTGCTGACTGCACCTGTTTGCAACATTGGGCTACAGGAGGAGTCCTGGAATGGAAGCCTGATGAAAATGACTGGGTAATTCTTAGGATGAAATAGAAGAAGAAATGTAAGACATTTGGAGTTGGCAAGCAGGCACCCTACCAGTTTTGAGATGGGGCAGGTAGGATTTCAATGGCATGTTACATAACCATCCTCTAAAGGGACAGAATGTACATTTCAGTGGCAGAAAAAGAAAAGCACTCTGTTCTACTATGGTTAATTGTTATTAATAATTTAAATGTTGCTTTATCATATTACATATTTCTGCTTACATCCAATGACTTACATAAAAAAATCCTTAGATCCTAGATTTTTGGACTAAGTAATCTTTTTTTAAAAAAAAAAAAAAAAAGCATAAAAGCTCTAATTGAATCCTAGCAAATTTTTGTATTGGGATTTATTACACTGTCTCTTTTTGAAGCTTTCAAATATATTAGGATAATAAAAATAAATATTAATCTTAGCAACATACTGGTGATGGTGGCAGACCATCTGTATTTAGTAGTGGCAAATACCGAGTTCCTACTAGGTCAAGGTATAGCACTAGGTCCTGGGGTGGTTAAAAAAATGTTCTTGCCTTTTTACCAGTTAATAAAGAGATTAAACAATTACACATTTGTAATGCAAATTGAATATTTAAAATATCCAATAGATACATAATGCTATGGAGGTTGAGCAAAGGCAGTGCTTTTATCTGATTGTGAGGATTTGGAGGAATCCTAGGGAAGGGTGTGGAGTACAGAGTTTTGACAGGAGTGACTGGAGGAGGGGCCATCTATTCTGGAGTAAAGAAAGGTGATATTTTGGCTCTGTGCAGAGTCACTGAAGGACAATTATGATGAAGCTGGTTCTTGAAATACTTCTTGTTCCCACCAGAGGCTGTCTAGTGACTCCCACAGATGTCTTGTCTTGGAAGATGTGTTATACCAGGCCGGGCATGGTGGCTCATGCCTGTAATCCCAGCACTTTGGGAGGCCGAGGTGGGTGGATCACCTGAGGTCAGGAGTTCGAGACCAGCCTGACCAACATGGAGAAACCCCGTCTCTACTAAAAATACAAAAATTTAGCCAAGTGTGGTGGTGCATGCCTGTAATCCCAGCTACTTGGGAGGCTGAGGCAGGAGAATCGCTTGAACCGAGAGGTGGAGGTTGCAGTGAGCTGAGATTGTGTCATTACACTCCAGCCTGGGCAACAAAAGTGAAACTCCATCTCAAAAAAAAAAAAAAAAAACAAAAAAAGAAGATGTGTTATACCTTAGAACTCACTCTGTGTGAAATGACTGTCACATAGTGAGAGGCTGTCACAATGGCCAGGCTTCAAGATGGGTTCATTTCCTCCATTCTCTTGTGCTCTCCTTAAATCATTCCAAGTGTCAAAATTAGTGTTTTCAGAGGAATTGACATGTCAACTGGTAGCTTATTGAAACTGGTTGTCATTACAATAAACGTTGCTAGCATTACAATAAGCCTAGAAATACTGGGCTTCTGCCATCTCTCAGAATGAGAGTCAGGTAGGTGTGAAAGTGATTAAGAAAGCTTTGTATTTAGGGCTGGGGAGGCATTGGCCATACAGTGCAAAGAAAGTATAAGTGAAGGGATGTGAGATATAGAGGTCATCAGGGTTGAAGCTGAAATGTTGGTGTTGCTTTTTAGAAGTGAGGTTTGTCTGTGGTAAGCATGTTTTTTATGACCAACATTTTTGCTATGTAAAGCTTAGTAAAAGCTTTTCCTACATAATATGTGAGTGAGATCACTTCAGAAGTAACTCAGGAAATTCTTTTTCCCATAAAAGTTGGGACTGAGATTGTTTCTGGCCATTCCCCACAAAGGAGTGATGTAGTTTACAGAAGAAATGGTTTAGAGGATAACTATAAATCCCCACAAAACTTGTTGTTTTCATCCATATCACCAGGAAGACACTCAGCAGCACATTTCTGCCTTGAATCAATTCCCAGTAGAGTTAGAAGACCAAACTACTGCAGGCTGAAAAGCACCTGAATGGTGGACATTGTGTCAAGAAAGGTGGTGAACCCTACTCTCGGACTGAGGTGGAGGCAAGGATAAGTGTGCATTCTTCAGAAAAGGCTCCAGGGATCATCTGGAAGAAGAGAAGTTATGGGTCATACTTTACCATCTCAGGCTTGTGGACATTGCTCATATTTATGTAACAAAGTCTTTATATCAATATTAGCTTTTCTATGTACCAATTTGTTTCTAATTTAAAACAAGCAAGTATAGAAACTTATTATTGACTAGTCTTGGCTACTAAATATGTCTTTAGGTGCTCTTCATGGAGGTAGAGTGAGTAAGAAACAACAACAACAACAACAACAACAACAAAAGATGGGGCACTACCAGACACCAGTCTTTCCCATTAACTCTTTCTGCACTTCACCTTAAGGCTTAAATGTATTCTCTAAGCTTCACTTAATTTTTTTAATGCAAACATCCAGTGTTGGTGCTTCTTTTTACTAATTTGATAGTGATGTTAGAAATTATTGTGTATCACTCTAAGATACTTTCTTAAAAGATAGACTAGTTTTAGAGTAGTTTTAGTTAGGTTGAGTGGAAGATACAGAGATTTCTCATATACTCACTGTCCCCACATATGCAGTTTCCTCTATTATCAACATCCTCTCTGCATCCATCCACAGGGTACATTTGTTACAATTGATAAATATACATTATTATCACCCAAAGCTCATAGTTTACATTAGGGTTCACTCTTGGTAGTGTACATTTTATAGGTTTGGGCAAATGTATAATGACATGTATTTGTCATTATAGTATCACAATGAGTAGTTTTACTGTCCTAAAAATCCTCTGTGCTCTGCCTTTTCATGCCTCCCTCCTCCCTAACCATTGATTATATTACTATCTCCATTGTTTTGCCTTTTATAAAATGTCATATAGTTGAAATCTAACAGTATATAGCCTTTTCAGATGGGTTGATTGATGGCTTGTTAAATCAATCAATAGACCTATGTTGATCTTTAGATTCTTACATCTCGACAATATTGAGTTTCCCTATCCATGAACATAGAATGTCTCTCCACTCATTTAATTCTTTGATTTCTTTCATCAGAGTTTTATAGTTTTTCTCAAATAGATCTTGTAAATATTTAGTTAAATATATATCTAAGTATTTCATTTTGGGGGGACCACACTGAATATAATTCCTTTATCTGGATGTACCACAGTTTATTTATTTATTTATCTACTTAAGGAAATCTTGGTTGCTTCCAAGGTTTAACAATCATAAACAAAGTTTCTGTAACCAGCCATGTGCAGGGTTTTGTGTAGACAAAAATTTTTAACTCCTTTGGGTAAATACGAACAAGAGTGATTGCTAGATCATGTGGTAAGAGTATGTTTAATTTTGTAGAAAACTGCCAGACTGCCTTCCAAAGTGGCTGTACCATTCTGCATTGCCAACAGCAATGAATGAGAGTACCTGTTGCTTCACATCCTCACCAGCAATTGGTGTTGTCAGTGTTCTGGATTTGGGCCATTTTAATAGGCATGTATTGGTAGCTCCTTGTTTGAATTTGCATTTTCCTGATAACATATAACGTGCAGCACCTGTTCATATGCATGTTTACCATCTGTATATCTTCTTTGGTGAGGTGTCTGTTCTTGTCTTTGGCCCAGCTTTTAGTTGGGTTGTTTTTTTTGTTATTGTTAAGTTTTAAGAGTTCTTTATATATTTTGGATAACATTTCTTTATCAGATATCAGATATATCTTTGCAAATATTTTCTCACAGTCTGTGACTTGACTTTTTATTCTCTTGACAAAGTCCTTCACAGAGAAGAACACTTTAATTTTAATCAAGTTCAGCTTATCAATTCTTTATTTTGTGGATTGTACTTTTGGCATTGGGATACAAAGTGGTGTTTAGATAAAAAGTTATCACCAAACCCAAGGTCATCTAGATATTTTCCTATGTTATCTTCCAGGAGTTTTATGGTTTTGCATTTTACATTTATGTTTGTGATATGTCTTGAGTTCATTTTGTAAAGGGTGTAAAGTCTGCATCTAGGTTATTCTACTTCTTTTTTTTTTTGCATAGGGATGTTCAGTTTTTCCAGCATAATTTGTTGAAAAAATTATCTCTACTACACTGTGTTGCCCTCATCCATTTGTCAAAGGTCAGTTGCCTATATTATATGGGTCTATGTCTGAGCTCTCTATTCTGTTCTGTTTATCTATTTGCCTGTTTTTTTCTCCAATAACATATTCTCTTGATTACTATAGACTTATAAGTCTTGAAGTCAGGTAATATCAGTCCTTTGACTTTATTATTCTCCTTCAATATTGCATTAACTCTGCTGGATGTTTTTGCCTCTCTATATAAACTTTAGAATTAGTTTGTCGATATCCACAAAATAACTTGCTGGGAGTTTAATTGAGATTGCATTGAATCTGTAGATCAAGTTGGGAAGAACTGACATCTTGGCAATATTGAATCTTCCTATTCATGAATATGGAATATCTCTCTATTTATTTAATTCTTCTTTGATTTCTTTTATCTGAGTTTTGCAATTTTTCTCATACAAATCTTGTATATATTTAGTTAAATGTATACTTAAGTTTTTCAGTTTTGTGAGTGCTACTGTAAATGGTACTGTGTTTTAAATTTCACGTTCCACTTGTTCATTGTTGATATATGAGAAAGTGATTGTGTGTTACATTTGTGTCTTGCAACCTTGCTATAATCACTTATTAATTCCAGGAGTTTTGTTAGTTGATTTTTTCTGATTTTCTACATAGATGATCATGTCACCTATGAACGAAGACTGTTATACTACTTCCTTCCTAATCAGTAGTATACTTCTATGTCTTTTTCTTCTCTTATTGCCCTATCTAGAACTTCCAGTATAAAATTGAAAAAGAGTGGTGAGGGGAAATATCTTGCTTTGTTCCTGACCTTAGAGGGATGCTTTCCTCAAAGTTTCTTAGAATTAAGGGTAATGGGAATTGTGGTTCCTTGTAGAAGTTCTTTACCAAATTGAGGCTATTCCCCTCTATTCCTTGTCTATTGAGTTTTGTTTTGTTTTTTGGTATGAATCAGTGTTGGATTTTGAAAAAATGTTTTTTCTACATCTATTGATATGATCATGTGTTTTTTTTCTTTAGCCTTTTGATGTGATGAATTGTACTAATTGATTTTTGCACATTGAACCAGCCTTCTATGCATGGGATAAATCCCACTTGGTTATGGTATATAATTCATTGCATACATTGTTGGGTTTGATTTGCTAATATTTTGTTGAGGATTTTTGCATCAGTGTTCATGAGATATATTTTTTTTCTTGTAATGTCATTATCTGTTTGGTATTATGGGAATGCTGGCCTCAGGAGTTAGGAAAGATATATTAGAAAAGAAGACAGACCTAACATCAATTATCCAAGCTGTCACCTTAAGGAACTAGAAAAAGAAGAAAAAATAAATCCAAAATAAGCACAAGAAAAGAAATAATAAAACTTATTGCATAAATTAATGAAATTGAAAACAGAAAATCAATAAACAAAGTCAATGAAACTGGAATCTATTTCTTTGAAAACATTAATAAAATTGATGAGCCCCTTGCCAGGCTAAGCAAAAAGAGAGAAAACATAAGTGACTAATATCACAAATAAAAGAGGGACATAGCTGCTTCTATCTTCTGAAAGAGATTTTTCAGAATTGGTTTAATTTCTTCCTTAAATGTTGGTAGACTTCACCAGTAAACCCATCTGGGTCTAATACTTTCTATTTTGAAAAACTATTAATTATTGATTCAATTCCTTTAATAGATATTGGCCTATTCAGATAGTCTGTTTCTTCTTGTGTGACTTTTGACAGATTGTTTCTTTCAAAGAATTAATCCATTTAATTCAAGTTATCAAATATATGGCCTTAAAGTTCTTCATAGTATTCTTTGATCATCCTTTTAATGTCTGTAGGATCTGTAGTGATGTCCCTTTTTATTTCTAATATTAGTAATCTGTCTTTCTTTTTTATTAGTGAGCCTGGAAGAGGCTTGTCAATTTTGTTTATATTTTTAAAGAATCAGTTTGGGTTTATTGATTTTGTTTATTGATTTCCTGTTTTTAATTTCATTGATTTATGCAATAATTTTTTATTATTTCTTTTTTTTTTTTTTGCTTATTTTCAATTTAATTTTCTCTTGTTCTGGTTTCCAAAGGTAAAATCTTAGATGGTTGATATTAGAATTTTCTTCTTTTAAAATATTTATTAATACATTTAATGTCATAAATTTATTTGCAAGCTGCATCCCATACATTTTGATGTTATGTTTTTATTTTTATTTAATTCAATTTTTAAAATTTTCTTGAGATTTCTTCATTGTACCACATGTCATTTAGAAGTGTGTTGTTTAATCTCCAAGTACTTTTGGACATTCCAACTATCTTTCCATTGTTGTTTCTAGTTTAATTCCATTTTGATCTGAGAGCAGATATTCTGTTATTTCTATTCTTTTAAGTTTGTTAAGCTGTGTTTTATGGCTCAAAGTGTGATATATCTTGGTAAATGTTTCATGTGAGCTTGAGAAGAATCTGTATTTTGCTGATGTTAGACGAAGTAGTCTACAGATGTCAATTATATCCAGTGTTGTTCAGTTTGACTATGTCTTTACTGACTTTCTGTCTGCTAGATCTGCCCATTTCTGATAGATGGGTGTTGAAGTAGATTTATTTATTTATTCTTGCAGTTCTATCAGTTTTTGCCTCATGTATTTTGATGCTCTGATAGATGTATACACAATAAGAATTGTTATTTGGAGGTGGCAAAGATGGCCGACTAGAAGCAGCTAGTGTGCGTAGCTCTCACAGAGATGAACAGAAGGGGTGATTAAATACAGGATCTTCAACTGAAACATCCAGTTACTAGCACTGGGACTGATCAAGGAAACAACTTGACCCATGGAGAATGGAGGAAAGCAAGGCAGGACAACAGCCCACCTGGGAGTGATGCGGGGCCAAGGGAACCTCCCTTGCCCAGGGAAGCAGTAAGTGAATGTGTAACCCGGGAACCCACACTTCTTTCATGGATCTTTGCAACCTTTGGGTCAGGATATCCCCTCATGAACCCAGTCCACCAGGCCTTCAGTCTGACATACAGAACTACATGGAGTCTCTGCAGAGTAGCCATGTAGGCACTTGCAGAGACCTAGGAGCCTTAGACACTTGGGCTCTCTGGACTTCCCAGAGCAAAAGTAACTGCAACTCTGGCAAAGCTGGCAGTTAGACTCCTGTACATACCCCTAGGGAAAGAGGCTGAATCCAGGACACTCAGCAGTGACAGTCTACAGGCCCCACTTCCACAGCACCTCATAGAATAGGACCCACAGGCTTGGAATTCCAGCCAGCCACTGGTAGCAGCATTGCACGTCCCTGGGATGGATCTCCCCAGGGGAGGAGTGGGCAGCCATCTTTGCTGTTTGGGTGACTTAGCCACTCTAGTCTTCGGGCCTTGGGGAGTCCAAGCTGACAAGGGATGGAAGGGATCCCCCAGAACAGCACAGCTACTCTACAAAAATGTGGCCAGATTGCTTTTTAAAGCAGGTCCCCAATTCTGTTCCTCATCACCATGTGGGGCCTCCCAGTTGGGGTCTCCAACTACCCCACCAGTGTTCTCTGGCTAACAGAGCTTTCTAACCTCCCTGGCATGGAGCTCCCAGAAGTAGGGGCATGCTGCCATCTTTGCTATTTAGGTGACTTAGCTATTCTGGCCTTTGGGCTTTGGAATGTCTGAGGCTACCAGGGGCTGAAGCAGACCCTCAGCATAGCACACATGCTCTATGAAAACGTGGCCAAACTGCTTCTTTAAGTGAGTCCCCAATTCCATTCCTCCTCACCGGGCAAGACCTCTCAAATGGGGTCTCCAGCTACCTCCTACAGATGTGTTCAGGCTGGCAACAGGTCTGTACCTCCCTGGGATGGAGCTCCCATCTTTGGCTGCCATCTTTGCTGTTTTGCAGCCTTCACTGGTGATACCTCCAGGTACTGGAAAACCACAGGCAAGTAGAAACTGGAGCAGGTCCCCAGGATACCACAGCAGCCCTATGGAAAAGTGGCTAGACGGTTATGTGGGTTCCTGTTCCCATATCTCCTCACTGGGAAGGTCCTTCAGGCCTGGACCTCCAGCCACCCGCTGCCAGAGCTATTAAACTAGTAACAACTTGACAACTCCCTGGGCAGAGCTTCCAGGGGCAACTGAAAACCTCTCTGCCACTGCCTCTGCAGTAGAACTGTCTTTGCTACCCTCAGACTAACAAAAGAACAAAGACCCCACGTGCTTTATCCACACTTCCAACAGGCTGCAATCAACCCAAGGAGAAGAAGCCAGTCCCTCTCCCATGTGCTCCACACACCCTCCACTGCTCATCATCAGACAGGGACCCCTGGCTTGGGCCCACAGCACAGACCCTCCATCCTAGGCTGATTGTACCAAACAATTGCTGACCTGTGTATCTCTAGAGTGGAGTCCCCAGGAGATGAGCAAGGGACCCTTGGCCATGACCACTACTAAGGTTCCTTCCTCTGCTGCAAACAAGCTGGGGAAGGAACATAAACATTAGATTGACCACCCAGAGCTGCAGTAGACAGCCTAGGAGTGCCAAACCACTGTCTACAGCCAGAACTAAAGGGGGAGAGGCACCCACACTTTCAGAGCATTGAGAGGGAATGTAGCTGCAATTGTGAAGAAACAGGGAAGCCACATGACCAAGAAAGAGTGTACCAACTGACTAATAAGCCTAAGTGCCACCTACTGAATCACACCCCAAAGCTTCAACACCAAAAATACCTCACTAACATACCCACTCTGAAACCAGAGACGAAAAGTCAACTTCAAATAAAGACCCTGCACAAAGTCTTTTTCCCGTGAAAAAATCCAGAAAAGAAGTCTATTGACTGTACTCAATTTACACTGCAGTTAAAGGAATACCTCATGTAAAGATGAGGAAGAACCAGTGCAAGAATGCCAGTAACTCAAATGGCCAGAATGTTGTATGTCCTCCAAAAGACTGCACCAGTTCTCCAATGAGAGTTCTTAACTAGGCTGAACTGGCTGGAATGACAGAAATAGAATTCAGAATATGGATAGGACTAAAAGTCATCAAGATTCAGGAGGATGGAAAACCCAATTAAAAAAAATGAGAATCACAATAAAGCAGTACAGGAATTAAAGGATAAAATAGCTGGTATAAAAACAACCTAATGGATCTGACAAAGCTGAATAACATAATACAATAATTTCACAATGCAATCACAAGTATTAACAGCAGAATAAACCAAGCTGAGAAAAGAATCTCAGAACTTGAAGACTGGTTCTCTGGAAAAAGACAGTCACAAAAATAAATAAATAAGAGTAAAAAGAAGTGAACAAAACCTCCGAGATGTATGGGATTGTGGAAAGAGGCCAAATCTACAAATCATTGGCATCCCTAAAAGGGAGGGGTAGAAAGCAAACAACTTGGAAAACATATTTCAAGATATCATCCATGAAAACTTCCCCAACCTTGCTAGAGAGGCCAACAGTCAAATTCAAGAACTACAGAGAACTCCTACAAGATTAACCAGAAGATCATCCCCAAGACACAAAATCATTAGATTTTCCAAAATCAAATGAAAGTAAGAATGGCAAAGGAAGCTAGAGAGAAAGGGCAGGTCACTTAGAAGGGGAACACTATCAGGCTAACAGAAGATTTCTCAGCTGAAACCTTATAAGCCAGAAGAGATTGAGGGCCTATATTCAACACTCTTAAGAAAAGATTCTTCAACCAAGAATTTCACATCCAGCCAAACCAAGCTCCCTAAGCAAAGAAGAAATAAGATTCTTTTCAGATAAGCAAACGTTGAAGGAGTTCATTACAATCAGACGTGCTTTACAAGAGATCTTGAAAGGAGCACTAAATATAGAAAGGAAAGACCACTACGAGCTTATACAAAAACACACATAAACACACAGACCAGTATAACTTTAAAGCTACTACACAAACAAGTCAACATTATAACCAGTTAACAACATAATGACAGGATCAAATCCACACATATCAATACCAATCTTGAATATAAATAGATAGCCCCACTTAAAAGGCACAGAGTGGCCAGGAAGATTTAAAAAAGCAAGACCTGATGGTATGCTGTCTTCAAGAGACCTGTCTCACACGTGATGACACACATAGGCTCAAAATAAAGGGAGGAAAATCTACCAAACAAATGGAAAACAGAAAAGAGCAGGAGTTGCAATCCTAATTTCAGACAAAACAGATTTCAAACCAACAAAGACCAAAAAAGACAAAGAAGGGCATTAGATAATGGTAAAGGGTTCAATTCAACAAGAAGACCTAACTATTCAAAATATATATGCATCTAACAGAAGCACTCAGATTCATAATGCAAGTTCTTAGAGACCTACAAAGAAACATGGACTCCCACACAATAAAGTGGGAGACCTCAACACTCCACTGACAGTATTAGACAGATCATCAAGGCAGGAAATTAACAAAGATATTTAGGACCTGAACTCAACATTGGACCAAATGGATCTGATGAGTATCTACAGAACTCTCCCCCTCAAAACAACAGAATATACATTCTCATTGCCACAAGGCACATACTCTAAAATTGAACAAATAATTGGACATAAAAACAATCCTCTAAAAATGCAAAAGAATAAAAAAATCATAACAAACACCCTTGGACTACAGTGCAATAAAAATAGAAGTCAAGACTAAGAAAATAGCTCAAAACCATGCAATTACATGGAAATTAAACAGCATGCTCCTGAATGACTTTTGGGTAAATAATGAAATTAAGGCAGAAATGAAGAAATTCTTTGAAACTAATGAGAACAAAACTACAACATACCAGAATATCTGGGACATAGCTAAGACAGTGTTAGGAGGGAAATTCATAGCACTAAAAGCTCACATCAAAAAGTTTTTAAAAAATCTCAAATTAACAACCTCACAACTGAATGAGTTAAAGAAGCAAGAACAAATCAACCCCAAAGCTAGCAGAAGATGAGAAATAACCAAAATTAGAGCTGAACTGAAGGAAACTGAGAAACAAAAAGCCTTTCAAACAGTGAATGAATCCAATAGTTGGATTTTTGAAAAATTTAATAAAATAGGCCATTTGCTAGAGTAATAAAGAGGAAAAGAGAGGAGATCCAAATAAACACAATCGGAAATGATGAAGGGAATTTTACCAATGACCCCGCAGAAATAAAAGCAACCACCAGAAATTACCATGAACAACTCTATGAAAACAAACTAGAAAACCTAGAAGATGTGGCTAAAGTTCTGGACATTTAGATCCTCCAAAGAATGAACCAGGAAGAAGTTGATTCCCTGAACAGACCAACAATGAGCTCTGAAGTTGAAACAGTAATAGCCTACCAACCAAAAAAAGCCCAGGAGCTGATGGATTCACAGCTGAATTCCACCAGATGTACAAAGAAGAGCTGGTACAATTTCTGCAGAAACTGTTACAAAAAAATTGAGGAGAAGGGACTTCTCCCCAACTCATTCTGTTAGGCCAGCATCATCCTAATACCAAAACCTGGCAGAGACACAACAAAAAAAAGAAAACTTCAGGCCAGTATCCTTGATGAACATCGATGCAACAATTCTCAACAAAATACTTGCAAATCAAGTCCAGCGACACATCAAAAATCTAATTCACCACAATCAAGTAGGCTTCATCCCTGGGATGCAAGGTTGGTTTGATGTACACAAATAGATAAATATGATTCATCACATAAACAGAACTAAAGACAAAAACCACATAATTATCTCAATATATGAAGAAAGGCTTTTGATAAAATTCAACACCTCTTCATGTTAAAAGCTCTCAATAAACTAGGTATTGAAGGAACATACCTGAAAATAATAAGATTCATCTATGACAAACCCACAGCCAACATTATACTGAATGGACAAAAGCTGGAAGCATTCCTTTTGAAAGCTGGCATGAGATAAGGATGCCCTTTCTCACAATCCTATTCAAAGTAGTATTGGAATTCCTACCCAGAGCAATAAGGCAAGAGAAAGTAACAAAGGGCATCCAAATAGGAAGACAGAAAGTCAAACTATCTGTGTTTGTGGATGACACTATTCTGTATATGGAAAACCTTATAGTCTTGGTCCCAAATTCCTTCAGCTGATAAATAACTTTGGCAAAGTTTCAGGGTACAAAATCAATGTACAAAAATCACTAGGATTGTTATACATCAACAGCAGCCAAACCAAGAGCCAAATCAGAAAGGCAGACCCCTTCACAGTTGCCACAAAAATAATAAAGACATAGGAATACAGCTAACCAGGGAGGTGAAATATCTCTACAATGAAAATTACAGAACACTGCTCAAAGAAATCAGAGATGACACAAAGAAATGGAAAAACATCCCATGCTCATGGGTAGGAAGAATCAATATCATTAAAATAGCCATACTTCTCAAAGCAACTCACAGATTCAATGTTATTCCTATCAAACTACCAATGACATTCTTCACAGAACTAGAAACAACTCTTTTAAAATTCTATGGAACCAAAAGAGAGCCAAATAGCCAAGGCAATTCTAAGCAAAAAGAGCAAAGCTGGAGTCATCACATCACCTGATTTCAAACTATACTACAGGGCTACACTAACCAAAACATCATGGTAATGGTACAAAAACAGGCATATAGACCAAGGGAAGAGAGTAGAAAGCTCAGAAATAAGGCTGCACACCTACAATCACCTGATCTTCAACAAAGCTGACAGAAACAAGCAATGGGGAAAAGACTCCCTATTCAACAAATGGTGCTGGAATAATTGGCTAGTCATATGCAGAAGACTGAAGCTGGAACCCCTCCTTACACCACATACAAAAATCAACTCAAGATGGATTACACTTAAATGAAAAACTCAATACTATAAAAACCCTGGAAGACAATCTAGGCAATACCATCCTGGACCTAGGAATGAGCAAAGATTTCATGACAGACACCAAAAGCAAACGTAACAAAAGGAAAATTGACAAGTGGGATCTAATTAACCTTAAGAGCTACTGCACAGCGAAACTATCAATAAACAGACAATCTACAGAATGGGAAAAATATTTGCAAATTATGCATTTGTCGAAGGTCTAATATCTAGCATTAATAAGGAACTTAAACAAGAGAAAAAGAAACAACCCCATTAAATAGTGGGCAACGGACACGAGCAGTCACTTCTCAAAAAAGACATGCATGCGGCTATCAAAAAATAACAGATGTTGGCAATGTTGCAGAGAAAAGGAACACTTATACACTGTTGGTGTGAGTGTAAATTAGTTCAAGTATTGCAGAAAGCAGTATGGCAATTCCTCAAAGAGCTAAAAGCAGAACTACCATTCAATCCAGCAATCCCCTTACTGGATATATACCCAGTGGAATAAAAATCATTCTTCATAAAGACTATTGAAGTGAATATTCATTGCAGCACTATTAACAATAGCAAAGACATGCAGTCGACCTAAATGCCCATCAGTGACAGATTGGATAAAGAAAATGTGGTAAATATACACCATGGAATACTATGCAGCCATAAAAAGAATGAGATCATGTTTTTTGCAGGAATATGGATGGAACTGGTGGCTATTAGCTTCAGCGAACTAACGCAGCAACAGAAAACCAAATATTGCATGTTCTCACTTATAAGTGGGAACTAAATGATGAGACCTTATGAAGACAAGGAAGGAAACAACAGACACTGGGGTCTTCTTGAGGGTAGAGGGTGGGAGGAGGGTGGGGAGCAGAAAAGATAATTATTGGGTACTGGGCTTAATTCCTGGGTGATGAAATAATCTGTACAACAAACTCCTGTGACATGAGGTTTCCTATGTAAAAACAGTTCACATGTGCCCCTGAACCTGAAATA
Source organism: Homo sapiens (assembly GCF_000001405.40). NCBI lineage: Eukaryota > Metazoa > Chordata > Mammalia > Primates > Hominidae > Homo > Homo sapiens. The sequence continues at coordinate 46,644,037 of NC_000012.12, forward strand.
GAAGTTTAAAAAAAGAGGATTGTTACTTATTCTTGGAGAATGGATCCCTTTATTTTTCGTAATTTTCCTTTCTTCTCCTGATAACTTCCCTTGCTATGAATTCTGCTCTGTCTAAAATTAATATAAATACTCCCATTTTCTTTTGATTAGTATTAACATGGTATATCTTTAATCATCCAATTACTTTTAATTTATGTGTGTTTTTATTTTGACGAGTTTCTCATAAACAACATATAGTAGAGTTTTTATTCATTTTTATTTATTATTGTTATTATTATTTTTTGAGACAGAGTCTCTCTCTGTCACCCAGGCTGGAGTGCAGTGGCATGATCTTGGCTCACTGCAACCTCCGTCTCATGGGTTCAAGCGATTCTCCTGCCTCAAGCCTCCTGCAGTAGCTGGGATTACAGATGTGTGCCACCACGCCCAGCTAATTTTTTTTTTTTTTGTATATATATATTTTTTAGTAGAGTTGGGGTTTCACCATGGTGGTCAGGCTGGTTTTGAACTCCTGACCTCAAATGATCCGCTTGCCTTGTCCTCCCAAAGTGTTGGATTACAGACATGAGCCACCATGCCCTGGTGAGTTTTTATTTTTTTAAATTAATTAATTAATTAATTAATTTTTGAGATAGAGTCTCACTCCATCACCCAGGCTAGAGTGCAATGGCACGATCTCAGCTCACTGCAACCTCTGCCTCCCAGGTTCAAGATATTCTCATGCCTCAGCCTCTGAGTAGCTGGGATTGCAGGTGTGTGCCACCATGCCTGGCTAATTTTTGTATTTATAGTAGAGATGAGGTTTTGTCATGTTGGTTAGGCTGGTCTCTAACTCCTGGCCTCAAGTGATCCAACTGCCTCGGCCTCCCAAAGTGCTGGGATTACAGGCATTCAGTCACCATGCCTGGCTATATAGTTGAGTTTTTAAAATCTATTTTGACAATATCTGTCTTTTAATTGGTGTGTTGAGATAATGAGTGTTCAACATGATTATTAATATAGTTGGGTTAAAATATGTCATATTTGTTACTGTTTTCCATTTGTTTCCCTTATTCTTTTTTTCTATTTTTTTGCACTATTTTAAAAAATCAATTGTGTTTTTTTTTTTGTTTGTTTTTTGAAACAGAGTCCTGCTCTGTCGCCCAGGCAGTGGCACCATCTTGGCTCACTGCAACCTCCACCTCCCAGGTTCAAGTGATTCTCCTGTCTCAGCCTCCTGAGTGGGATTATAGGCCCATGCCACCACACCCGGCTAATTTTTGTATTTTTAGTAGAGACATGGTTTCACCATGTTGGCCAGGCTGGTCTAGAATTCCTGACCTCAGGTGATCCACCCTCCTTGGCCTCCCAAAGTGCTAGGATTACAGGCGTGAGCCACTGTGCTTGGTCCAGTTATGGTTTTAATTAAGCATTTTATGTGATTCAATTTTCTGTCCCTTCTTAGCATATCAGCATATCAGTGATTTTTTTTTCTCCTTGACTGCCTTGAAGTTTGCAGTATACATTTGCAACTAACATAAGTCCATTTGCAAATAACACTTTACTGCTTCATGGGTAGTTCAGTACCTTATAATAACCAATTCATCTCATTTTTCATTGCTGTCATTCATTTAATTCATGCAGAAGCATACATATATATGCATATATAATTGATTACATTGTTGCTCTTATGATTTTGAGAAAACTGTAATCTGTTAGATCAATTAAGAATAAGAAAAATGTTTTTAATTTTACCTTCACTTATTCATTTATGAATGCTTTTCCTTTCTTTATGTAGACCTGAGTTTCTGACATATATACTTTTTCTTCTGAGGAACACTTAAAAGCCATTTCTTGTCAGACAGAAATACTGGCAACAAATCCTCTCAACTTTTTTTTCTTAGAAAGTCTTTATTTCATCTTCACTTTTGGGTGAAAATTTCACAGTGTGCAGAATTCTGGGTTGGTGTTTTTCTTCTTTTTTTAACAGTAGTATTTCATACCCCCCACCTTCTTGCTTGCACGGATTCTGAGAAGTCAGATCTAATTCTTATCTTTGCTCCTGTATAGGTAAGGCATTTTTTCCCTCTGGTTTTGTTCAGAATTTTTTTTCATTTTTGATACACCATAGTTTGAATATGATATGTATACATGTTGTTATTTTGGTGTTTATCTTGCTTGCTGTCCTCTGAGCATTCCAGATCTGTGGTTTGGTATGTGACACTACTTGTGGGAAATTCATAATCATGTTGCATTAAATATTTCATCTTTTTCTTTCTTTTTTCTCCTTCTGGTATTTCCATTATGCGTATGTTATATGTTTTATAGTAGTCCCACAGTTCTTGAATATTCTGTTCTTTCTTTTAGTCTTTTTTTCTTTTCAAATATTCTTTTTTCAGTAATGTTCAGTCTACACACAAGCCCATCAAAAACATTATTTATTTCTAGTACAGTGTTTTTATATGCAACATTTCTTTTTAAGTGTTTGTTAGAATTTTCATCTCTCTGCTTACATTGTCCATCTCTTTTTGCATGCTGTCTATGTGTTTATTAAAGCCCATCAAAAAGCATTCTTTATTTCTATTATAGTGTTTTTAATGTAACATTTATTTTTGAGTCTCTCTTAGAATTTTCATATCTCTGCTCACATTGTCCATCTGTTTTTCCATGTTGTCTATGTAATTTACTAGAGCCTTAACATTTTAATCACAGTTGTTTTATTTTTAATTCACAGTTTGATAGTTCCAGCATTTCTGCCATATCTGAGTTTGGTGCTGATGTTTACTCTGTCAGCTCAAACTCCGTGTGTGTGTGTGTGTATGTTTTTTGTTTTTTTGTTTGTTTTTGCTTTGCTTTTTGGTATGCCTTGTAATTTTTTCTTGATAACCAGACATGATTTACTGGGTAAAAGGAACAGCTGTAAATAGGCCTTTAGTAGTGTGGTGGTCTGATGTTGAGGGGAGGAAGCATTTTATAATTCTATGATTAGGTCTCAGTCCTTAGTAAGCTTGTTCCTCTGGACTGTGAACTTCACAAATGCTTCTTAGTCTCCCCTCCCCACACTTAGGTTGATGTATTAGTCTGTTCTCATACTGCTATGGAGAAATACCTGAGACTGGGTAATTTATAAAAAAAAGAGGTTTAATTGACTCACAGTTCCGCATAGCTGGGGAGGCCTCAGGAAACTCATAATTATTGAGGAAAGTACCTCTTCACAGGGCGGCAGGAAAGAGAATGAGTGCAAGCTGGGGAAATGCCAGACATTTATAAAAACAATCAGATCTTGTGATACTCACCCATTATCATGAGAACAGCATGGGGGAAACCAGTCCCATGATTCAATTACCTTCACCTGATCCCACCCTTGACATATGGAGATTATGGGGATTGCAATTCAAGGTGAGATTTGAGTGGGGACACAGAGCCAAACCATATCATTCTTCCTCTGGCCCCTCTCAAATCTGGTGTCCTCACATTTCAAAACACAATCATGCCCTTCCAACAGTCCCCCAAAGCCTTAACCCATTCCATCACTAATCCAAAAGTCCAAGTCCAAAGTCTCATCTAAGACAAGGCAAATCCCTTCTATCTATGAGGCTGTAAAATCAAAAGCAAGTTAGTTACTTCCTAGATACAATGGGGGTACAGGCATTGGGTAAATACATGTATTCCAAATGGGAGAAATTGGCCAAAATAAAGGGGTTACAGGCCCCATGCAAGTCTGAAATCTAATAGGGCAGTCATTAAACCTTAAAGTTCCAAAATGATCTCCTTTGACTCCATGTCTTACATCTAGATCATGCTGATGCAAGCGGTGGGCTCCCATGGCCTTGGGAAGCTCTGCCCCTGTGGCTTTGCAGGGTACATCCCCACCCCTGGCTGCTTTCACAGGCTGGTGTTGAATATCGGCAGCTTTTCTAGGCATACAGTGCAAGCTGTCAGTGGATCTACCATTCTGGGGTCGGGTAGATGGTGGCCCTCTTCTCACAGCTCTACTAGGCAGTGTCCCATCTGGGATTCTATGTGGAGGCTCCAACCCCACATTTCCCTTCCACAGTGCCCTAGCAAAGATTCTCCATGAAGGCTCTACCCCTGGAGCAAACTTCTGCCTGGACATCCAGACATTTCCATACATCCTCTGAAATTTAGATGGAGGTTTCCCAACCTCAATTCTTGACTTCTGTGTACCTGTAGGCCCAACACCACATGTAAGCCACCAAGGCCTTGGGGTTTGCACCCTCTGAAGCAATGGCCTGAGCTATACCTTGGCCCCTTATAGCCATGGCTGGAGTTGAAGCAGCTGGGACACAGGAGACCATGTCCCAAGGCTGCACAGAGCAGGGGGGCCCTGGGCCCAGCCCACAAAACCATTTTTCCCTCCTAGGCCCTAGGACCTATGATGGGAGGGGTTGCTATGAAGGTCTCTGACATGCCCTGGAGACGTTTTTCCCATTGTCATGGTGATTAACATTTGACTCCTCGTTACCTATGTACATTGCTGCAGCAGGATTGAATTTCTCCCCAGAAAATGAGTTTTTATTTTCAATCACATTGTCAGGCTGCAAATTTTCCAAACTTTAAGGCTCTGCTTTCTCTTGAACACTTTGCTGTTTAGAAATTTCTTCCACCAGATACTCTAAATCATCCCTTTCAGGTTTAAAGTTCCATAGATCTCTAGGGCAGGGGCAAAATGCCATCAGTCTCTTTGTTAAAACATAGCAAGAGTGACCTTTATTCAAGTTCCCAACAAGTTACTCATTTCCATCTGAGACCACCTCTGCCTGGACTTCATTGTCTATATCACTGTCAACATTTTGGTAAAAGCCATTCAACAAGTCCCTAGGAAGTTCCAAACTTTCCCACATCTTCCTGTCTTCTGAGCCCTCCAAGTCTCTAGGAAGTTCCTAACTTTGCCACATTTTTCTGTCTTCTTCTGAGCCCTCCAAACTATTCCAGCCTCTGCCTGTTACCCAGTTCCAAAGCTGCTTCCACATTTTGGGTGTCTTTATAGCTGTGCCCTACTACCTCGGTACCAATTTACTGTATTAGTTTGTTCTCATGCTGCTATGAAGAAATAACTGAGACTGGTAATTTATAAAGAAGAGAGGTTTAATTGACTCACAGTTCCACATGGCTGGGAAGGCCTCAGGAAACTTACAATCATGGTGGAATCATCTCTTCACAAGGTGGCAGTGAAGGCAACTCTTCACTGACGGCAGGGCATGGTGGCTCACGCCTGTAATCCCAGCACTTTGGGAAGCCGAGGTGGGTGGATCACAAGCTCAGGAGATTGAGACCATCCTGGCTAACATGGTGAAACCCCGTCTCTAATAAAAATACAAAAAATTAGCTGGGCGTGGTGGTGGGTGCCTGTAGTCCCAGCTACTAGGGAGGCTGAGACAGGACAATGGCGTGAACCTGGGAGGCGGAGCTTGCAGTAAGCCGAGATTGCCCCACTGCACTCCAGCCTGGGTGAAAGAGCGAGACTCTGTCTCAAAAGAAAAGAAAAAAAATCACCCACTGACTGGGTCCTCCTGGTGTCCTCATCCTCATGGTGATGAGTGAGTTCTCACTCTATTAGTTCCCGCAAAAGCCAGTTGTTAAAAAGAGCCTGGCACCTCCCTTTTCACTCTTGCTTCCTCTCTCACCATTTGAGCTCTTCACACACAGGCTCCCTTTCACCTTCCACCATGAGTGTGAGCAGCCTGAAGCTCTTGCCTGTTGTAGGTGCCCAATCTTAAACTTTCTAGTCATCAGGATTATGAGCTGAATAAACCTTTTTTCTTTGTAAATTACCTACCCAGCCTCAGATATTTCTTTTTTTTAAAATTTTATTATTATTATACTTTAAATTTTAGGGTACATGTGCACAATGCACATAGCAACACTAGACAGACTAAGAGATCTAAGAACTGTTGATGTTTCAGTTGGTTCAGCTTTTCACTTTTTGTTAGGTCAAAGTGGTAACTTTCAAGCTTCATATGTGCTGGAAGATGCTGCTATGTTTTTAAAATAAAATTTTTTTCAAAACATAGTTAATTTTATGGTAACATTCTTGAAAATAGGTAACTCTCTCTGATAGTTTTCAGTTGTAATTTTTCACACCTCATAGTTAACTAGTTTAAAGGATTACAAAAAATATTTAACAATATCATTAGTTAATCTGAATAATGGATGCAAAAGTAACTATTTTGACAACTGATGATTTTGATAACTATGTACCTCTGAAAAGCACTTTGGTCAGTGATCATAAGAAAGATAGTATGGAGAGTTTGGTGAAGTGGAAATGTTAAACTATTTTCTAGCAGTAGAGTTGTTGCTTTTTCATTAACTAGCACTTGTTCTTACATCAATTCTTTTTTATATCCTCAAAATCATAATACCTGAGTTCGGCAGTTTGTTCCAGGGAAAATAATTTAATCTGTTTTAGCCAAATAGAATGCCGTCAGTTACCCTTATTTCTCTGAATTTAACAGGCATGTGAAATTGAATCCCATGAGCTACACACACTACTTTCTGATATTTATTATCTTGCTGAAGGTGAGCAGAACAACAGCTTTGCTCTTGTCCTATGATTTTAGAGATAATATCTGGTTGGCAACTGGCTTGGGCACTAGTGCTTTTGGAGGTGGTGTGTTCATCTAGTTGGAACCAGGGGCAGAGATAGCATCATTCCCACTGCGCCTGATTTAACTTGGCTTTGGATGATATCACAATTGGGGTTGGAACTTTCCACAGTAGATTATACAAATTTAACCATTATTTCAAGATTTTATCTTTTTGTTTGAACAACTCAGCTCCGGAGATAACATTTTATAGACTTATGCTCCTTCTAAACTAATGTTACTGTCGTTTGTATCTATTCTGATGTCTTTCCCATAGACAATGGATTTTTCTGAGTCATCCTTGGTCTATTTTTTTCCTGATCCTCACTGGGTTATTTGTGAGAGAGCTGGGGCCACTAGTAAAATCTCTGATTCTTGGTTACTGATTTTATCTGTGCAAAGCAAACCAGAACAGATGGATGAAGCCATTGACAGAACCTCTTACTACTATGCTGCGAAGCAGAGGCTCAGACTGTATTAGAATGATTAATGTACAGGTGGGGGTTTTTGTTTTGATCCTGATTACATCTTCAGCATTTTTGGATAGGATAAAATCTGTAAAGTAATGTTTATGGAAGTAAATAGCTGATTGATAAGACAGTCTTGGTTAGCCCTTTCAATCAGATGTCTGTACATCAAGTAATAGAGCTAGGCTAGGCTATCACCCTTGAGTTCCAGATGAAAGGAAGCCATTTTTTATTCCTGAGATTGTGTTCATTCCATACTTCTTATTTGACAACAGAATATAACACCCCTGGATCAGTAGAGCCAGAGCAATTTGGAAGGTCAACATTCAACATACTTAGAGCTAGAAGGGCCAATTTAGACAATTTAAGCAAAAAGATTATTTTCTTTGAGTATAGACTGTCTGTCCAAGAAGACTCAAATTCTGTTCATGGCTATGCTCTAGTGTTTTGGCTGGCGGGTTTAGAGGTTCTGGTGTTTTCCCACCTCTCCAAAGTAAAATATTGACACAAATGAATTCAATGAGTTGATGAGGGAAGAAGAATTAGTTGGATGAGATTGAGCAGATTCTGAGATTTTGTAAACATCTTGGTGCTTTGGGAGGACTTGGGCATGATTTGATGTCTTCTGATGGGAAGGTGAAGCATTCTGGGCAGCTGGTGGAACTCTACACTTCAGATTTGCTCTCTTGTTTTCTCCTCTAGAGCTGAGGGCTGTGCCCTGCCACCGGGCCACAAAGTGTCACAGGTATGCCCAATGCCCAGCCAGCACTACATTCTGGTTCTCACAAGGGATCCTCTTCTCAGTGATGTCCTTCAAAGCTAGCTGGGGCTTAGGTGTGCACCCCTTCCCCCAGGACCCAGAAAACATGTCAGGTTGTCCTGGCTCCCCAACCAGCCCAATCCAACCCTAAATAAAAACCTGAGCTTAAAAGAGGGGCAGATTTCTGTATACCAGTGGATTATGCAGTTGAGAAGGAAATTAAGAAACCTGAGTTCTCTCCCCAAATATGCTCTGGATTTGGGCTCTCAGCTTTCAGAGTGCTGATTTATTGTGTTACATTGCACAGCTTATTATAAAGCTAACTCTTATTCTTACTATAACCCTCCTGCTTAATTAATTCAAGAACATTTAGTTCCAGGTACTAAGATTAGGGAAGGCGGTCTGAACCTCCTTGGCCTGAGCTTCCTATTTCCACGTGAAAAGACCTCCACTAGTTTCACCCTCCAGGCACTCCCACCTAATAATACTGAGATAAGAGGCTGGTCAGCCAGGTGTGTCTCAGCCCCTTCCTCTTTCCACAGATTATTGCCTGCTCCTCCAAGCCCTTCACTGTAGAATGGAAGCCTGTGATTTTCCTGGCATCATGCATGACTGAGAAGGTCAGTGTGGCTAATTCTGAGCTTCAACATCAGGAAACCCGTAGTTCTTCACACTGAGCCGCCTCCTGCAGCACAGTCATCCTTGGTAATAAAGCTGATATTTTAATCAATATCTGTCTTACTCTTTCATCTTGTCCCTCATTTGGTTTAGAATTCAGGTGGGGAAAACAATTGTTTACTTTATCGGACTCCTAACCATGTGCTTGGCAGACACAGGTGAATAAATACAGTCTCTATTCTCAGGAAATTCATAGAGCAATGGTGGGAGGTGGGTAGATGGAAATGGAAGCAAAAAAAACAATGTGAATTACTGTAACTAGGGAAGTGGTGTAGTGGAGTTCAAGAGCTTCAGTTCTGGTCTCATTCAATCTTAGATGCATTCCCAAATGTGCCATTTAATAGATGAGTGACCCTGGGGAAGTAATTTTACCTCAGTGCCTCAGTTTTCTCATCTATAAAATGGGAATTATAATACCCACCTCACAGATTGTAAAGATTCAATGAGATAATACATCTAAATTGTTCAGCACAGTGCCAAGCATGAAGAAAAATCACCCTTTTGACCATTGTTATTATTAGAAGTGTGACATATATGCTGTGTAATCTACAGGAGGGCACCTGTCTCTTCACGTGAGTGCTATTATCCAAAGAGAGGTAGAAAAGAATTCTGTCTATATCATAGAGCAATGATAAGCAAAGCAACCCCAGACTGTAGCTAATATATATTTTGGGGCATCACTCTGTAGGTTCTAGTTTGCTTTTCAGTCTGTCAGTTGGGTGGTAGCTACTCTCCAGCCTGGCATCAGGCACCCAGCAGAGAGGGACCGGCAATCACCAGGCTAGTGCAGCACGAATGTATATTGGTTTATGAAAGCAGCTACCTCCCACATGCAAGAGAAGAGTAAAAGAGAAGAATAGAAGAGGAAAGAGAAGAAAAAAAGGAGGAGGCGAGGAAAAGGAGGAAAGGGGAGGGGAGGGGAGGAAAGGGAAGAAAAATGTATAATTCAGTTCCTTCCAATAAATATGGCTGTGCAATAGTTTACATTAATATTACCAAAGTGACCAAATTAATGTATGAACTCACAGAATAATAATTCAAAATTGATACAAGGAAGTCACATGTAAATTAGGATGGACAGAAGACACATGGAAAGAGGGATGTGCATAAAAGATGCAGGGGAAAGCCTTCATGAAAAAATATGGAAAGGAAATAGAGAACTGTACTACTATCCTCCTCTATCTGTCAATTTCTACTAAGAAGTTTTATACCCTTAAAAAATCATAAAGTTCACATATACACTTTCTCATCTACACTGTCTCTACAAGATACTCAGTCTTTATGAGATGACTTTTTTCATATCCAGTTCTTGCTCTTGTTTTAATGTTCTGGTACTTCAATCACTTTGCAGCAGGAAGAAGGAGACCCTTTTTTTTCCTTTTTTTTTTTCCTTTTGAGACAGAGTCTCGCTCTGTCACCCAGGCTGGAGTGTAATGGCGCAATCTCGGGTCATTGCAACCTCTGCCTCCCAGATTCAAATGATTCTCCTGCCTCAGCCTCCTGAGTAGCTGGGATTACAGGCGCGCACCACCACGCCCTACTAATTTTTTTTTTTTTTTTTTTTTTTGTATTTTTAGTACAGACAGAGTTTCACCATGTTGGTCAGGCTGGTCTGGAACTCCTGGCCTTGTGATCTGCCCACCTTGGCCTCCCAAAGTGCTGGGATTACAGGTGTGAGTCACTGCGCCCGGCCAAGACCCTCCTTTTCAATACCATCATCCAACCGTCTACTTATGACCACACCCCGCCCACCTCCATCCACCTGGCTACTTATTCCAGCTGCAGCAGCCTCCCTCTCGCTCTTTAGCATTTGAGGTTCCTCTGGCTGGGATGTCCATCCCCCTGACTTCCACACTGCTTGCACCTTCACTTTCCTTAGATCCTACTGATACTACCTTATTGGGAAAACTTTCTCTGGCCACTTTTTTTCAATGAGAACTCTATCTCCCCAAAATACTCCTTCCCTTTTCTCCTGCTTTATTATTCTCCAAAGCCATAATCTCCATCTAACATGGTATATACCTTTACACGTTTGCTGGCTTATTGTTGTCTTTCCTTCTGTCTTAGGTTGGATTTCCTAGAAACAGAACCTGAGAGAAGAATTCAGGTGCATATTGAGGGAATGCTCTTCAGGAAAACCTGTAAAGGGAGGGAATGATGCAGGATAGTGTGAGTGAAGCAGCCGGGCAAGGGTGTGCTTCCAGGGAGGTCTAGCCATGAGAAAGAATTTTTCCGGTGCACTAATTGCATCTGGAAGCAAGAGGCCCACTCTTTGTACCCTCCTTTCAGTCGTTGGCTGTGTGCTGAGTTCGGGGCATTGCGACTTCCTGGCTGAGGCAATGCCCTTGCACTGAGGTCAATTCTCTTTCGAATGGGACAGATGGGAGCCAACATGCATAGAAACTGGGAGCAGAAGTGTTGGCCATGTAAAAGGGACCCAAGACAGGCAACTAAATGACATCTAACACTTCCATTACAGTATAATCTCCATGGTATTTCAGACTCTCTGGTTTGCTTTGTGCTGTATTTCTAGCACACAGAACACAGCCTGGCACATAGTAAGTCTTCAATAAATATTTATTGAATGACTTAATAATCTTAGTGAACTAGTGTAATGTGTATGCCAGGGGACAAAATGGTGAATGAGACAGACATGGTCCCTGCCCTCGTGGAGGTATGGTTTAATGGGAATGCAGACATTGGCAATTTAAACACAGTTTGAACAGTTCTATCATGAGAAAAGCAGGGTGGGCTAAGAACACACAGTAGGGACACTTAAACCCCAGAATTTGGAAAGGGAAAGTACTACAAACTTTGTGGTATGGTGAAGGTCTGTGTTTTTCATTGTAATTATTCACAGAAAGCAGAGGGCACATTGATAAAGTTGGGAAAATATTTGCAAGACTGCAGAATTACTATGAAGATTCTAATTCAGTTTTGTTTCAGCCATGATTTCTGTCACAGATAGAAAGATCAAAGGTTGAACAACCTGAACCAGGACTTCTTACATTTGCCCCGTGGTCTGTCTGTTGTCCCATCTTCACAATGAGAGGGTTGAACTTGAATTTCCTTCCTCGGGTCTCTGGAGGGGTCTGGGTATTGGGCTCTGCCCATTCTGTGGTAGGAAATGAGGGAGTGCCAGCCAGTCAACTATTAGTGCCAGCCAGTCAGTATTTCCTGGGATTGAGAGATTCCCTTGGACATTTGAGAATTGGCATAGTTTTCCTTTAAAAGTATCAGTGTGGTATTTATTAGGTGGCTTAGTAATTAGGTCCATTTAAAAAAAGAGAACTCAGTTCCCCTGAGGATTTGATGATGCCTTGGCCTCAGTTGGTGCTTGGTAACCCCGGTAATCAATCAATTTACTTGTATAGTCTGGTCTGTCTAGGGGATTCTATACTGCACGGATGCAAACTGCCTTCCCCAATTTTTCCCAATTTGGTTTATACAGCTATGTGTAGCATCCCACATATTTGGGGGAATGTGTGTGTGTCTGTGTGTGTGTGTGCATGCATGCACGCAAGAGCTTGTGAATAGTTGGGGAAAGGCCATACGAGTTGAACTGGGGCAGTGTCTTCAACTACAGCATGACTGTTTTGGAGAGAGGATCTTGCTCTGCTGCCCAGGCTGGAGTACAGTGGCACAATCACAGCTCACTGCAGCCTCAACCTCCTGGGCTCCAGTGATCCTCCTGCCTCAGCCTCCCAAGTAGCTGAGACCACAGATGTGAGCCACCAAACCCAGTTAATTTGTTTTGTACTTTTTGTAGAGACAGGGTCTCACTATGTTGCCCAGGCTGGTCTCAAACTCCTGGACTCAAATGATCCTCCTGCCTTGGCCTCCCAAAATGCTCGATTATAGGTGTGAACCCCTGCGTGCAGCCTACAGCATGACTTTTAATGTTTGATAGTCATGTGCCTTTAGACATTTTCATAATTCATCCTGGAGAATGGTAAAAAATAAGTTTTGTTGAAATATAAAAAGGCCATTGAAATGTCACAGAGTGGTTTACCTAACAGTAAATTATATAAGGCCTGAAGGTAGGGGTGGGAGAGGGGATATTAGTCAGGAATTTCTAGTAATTTGAAGCCATGCAAAAACAACAATGTTCTCAGGCATTATTGTGTTTGTTGCTAACTTTTGGCCGAGCGATTTTGAGAGTTTTTAGCTCTTCCCAGTCTGGGCAGTCACATTGGGCTTGTCACTTCTGCCTCTCACTTGTGCTGTGTTCATGCCCTGGATGGGTGCTCTTGATTGGCTGCTGCCTTACCCACCCCTTGGCACAGCTGCCTTGAGGTCTGCCATGTTCATTGGGGCCCACTCTGCTAATTTATTTTGCCAGCTTTGTGCTTAAATTTCTTCTAGATTCAGAGCTTTGATTGAAGGAATATAATATGTCACAAAAATAGCTGGTTTCATTTACCAAATACTAATTTTTTGCAAGATGATAGTTCTTTAGAAGGAGATATTTCCTGAATGCTAGTTAGTTATAAAATTTGTTTTACATAAGTTTGTTGAATGTTGTAATATTTGTGAAAATAGAGGTGGGTGCATAATGTCATGGTTTGTTAATTGAATGCTGACCTAAATAACGATACGATGGTGTAATGGGAGGAGTCCTGGACTAGCAGGCAGGAAAGGTTAGCTCTTGGTACTGCTTGGTTGTGACCTTTGGCAATTCCCTTGACCTCTCTTGGCCTCAGTTTCTCTACAGAACTAGATAATGCATAAGGCTCCTTCTAACTCTATAAGCAAAGTTCTAAGTCTATGTAGCTGGAAAGCTTGCAAAATCAGCAAGGGTGTGTGTTTTTATTCACATATCTTAAACTCATCTCCTAGAACTTTGGGTCAAAATTGACCTTGTGAAAAATAAAACCAAACAGTTGAAGGCTCTAGCTTATCTGACACCCTAACTTAATTTTGATCAAATGTTGTTTTTATATGAAATAGATTACTAAGATAATAATATGCTTGGGTAAAAGGTATTGGCTCTAGACAAAGGAATTGTTTTTTTTAGCTCTGCCAGTTCTTATAAGGGAAAGCTGATATTTTCATCAGGAATGGGGTACAGTCTCCCTTGGGAGAGCTCAATGCCATGTAAGCCAACACATATATTGCCCCAGGACTTAAACAATTCTATGCTGGAGATAATCAGAAATATGCACATATTTCTTTTTTCTTAAGCAATACCCAACAAATTCAGAAAGTTGTCATATTTGAATTGTTTTCCTTTTCAGAGGAGGGATGTGCAATACTGAATAAGGAGAGAAATACTTTTCTAGGAAGTATTTTTCGTTTTTTGTTTTTTTTTTTTTCAGAAAAAAACCACTTTTGAGGCACAATTGTCATAAAATGTCACTTGTAGCATGAAGCAAATATAGAAACTCTGTCCCTTTGCAGATAGGACTGCCTGTTAAGTGATGGCCGGTCAGACTTACTTGATGACTCAGTACAGTGAGAGACAAGCATTAGAGCTGTTAGTTGTTACTAACACTAAGCAGAATAACAGAAAACAGGCAAAATAGGGTCAAGTAGAATTGTCAATTTTTGCCTTTCAGAGTCATTAAAGGGAAGAACTGGGGCTGAGTCGTTAGAATAGGTTAGTTGTTTGAGTTATTCCATCAATCCGAAATTAGAATTACCTTCATACCTTCCTTGCCTTTCCAAACTTCTGGGCCATGTCACTGAGAGTGGCCAGGACTCAGCTGATCTGCAGCAGGGAAACCACCCCCAATCTGTGGCTACTCCTATACTTAGGCTTAAACTGGACATAAGGCCATTTCATACAATTTCAGATGTTTGTGTTTTGTCTTTGCAACATGATATATATGGTTAAAATAATATAATTAATTTTTAATATTGTAGCTTATTGAAAGATAAAAAGTGAGCCTTGCTGCTTTTTTAGCTATTCTTTTGGACACAGCTACTACAAGAAGAGAAAATATTGGCAAGCCAGGGGTTAAGGTACTACAAGGAGGGAGCAATTTTCTCTCACCTCACGAGGAGGAAAAGACCCAATAATGGATTTTACTTCCCTCCTCGATGTATTAGATTTTACGGGAAATTTAACATGGTATGTCTTTTGTATCAAATCACAGAGTGAGGGCTTTTCACTTTGAGGAAATCCTATACACTAAAAAAGGAATTTAGCAGTTAGTAGGGTAAAATTCACACAAGCAAAAGTTTTATTACTTTACAAAAGGCTCTTTTAGTGAGCCAATCCCAGTGCTTTAAAAAGAACATGTTAAGTGAGGAGCATAAGCCTGTTTCCTGAGTAATGACTTCAGTTAAATTGACACACACATAGCCAAATGTTCTTTGTGCCTGGCAGGACCCAGGAGAAATCACCTAATTTATAACTATAATGCCCATATACACTGGCATCAAAATTTCCACCCCACTTGGATGCAAAATTGTACTTTAGTGCTCAAAAAAAATTTTTTTTCTTAACTGCCTCTATGCCTTTGTATAAGAGACTCTTGTAGCTAACACCTTTTTATTTATGAGAAAAACATTTGCAAGTCTTTTATTTTTTGTTTAATTTAGTTTTTACCAGAAAATAAGGGGCCGTGTACAGCATATTCATGGAGACTAAATTAACTAATAGGGTTTAACTGTCGGTTGAGTGTTCTGAGAAAATGTCTGGGAAATGAACTTATAAACAGAAGGCCAGTGTTCAGGGTCCCTAGAGAAATAATGATGGGTCCTGCTCACTGAACATTTTGTGCCTCAGAGCGGCCAAAAGTGGGAGAAGAGGGAAAGAAAGCGACTAAGTGTGTGGAGAAGTTGGAGTGGTGTTTTTACCAACGGTGTGCTCAGGATTTTTTTAAACAACGATATGTGCAAGTCGTTATTTAGAACAATGTACGAAAGCGTATAATAAACATATGTGGATGATTGGGGTTGGCTATTAAGGGAAATACAGAACTGATTTTCCAAATGCCTTGCAGACTGCCAGACTCTGGAATGCTGGTTTTAAGCTGCTCACAAGAGCTACTACCTAATTGGAGCTCTGTGTATCTCTGAGCTTACAACCCTGGGGGACTTTTAAAAAAACTGTTGTCGTTAGAACCTTCTATTTTGAACAAATGGGCTAGTAAGAACAAAAGTAGAAGTGTCTCTTGTACAAAAAAGAGAAGACTTAGCTTAGAAAACCTAAACACACTTAAAAAAAATACCAGGAGGCTTTGATTTTTATGTTTTACTTTTGTGTTATGCATATATATCATCTGCCACCTAAAGTGATCAGGAAGGAGTCTGAAGAATGAAGATAATTTTTAAATAACAAATATTCCAATATTTGTTTATTCTGTGCCCAGGAGGCAGAGAGAACAACAAATGTGGTCCCTGTATTTTGTCTTCTCCATACTCTTTGCTCTGTGACTTCCTTTCTACTTCCTTATTTAGTCTGAATTTTAATATGTAGTATTCAAGTGGGCTCATAATGCTCATTTCCTTTCAATGAGATTTTCCAGTAAATATACTGACTCCACTGTTCACAGGAAATTACCCGGTTGGTGAGCACGTGTATAATTTTACCTCGATATATAACCCGGGGTATCTGCCTGTCTCCATGGCAGGATCCACCTCCTCTGCTGACAGGCTCTGTCTCTCTGTTTCTGCATTCATATTAAACACACAGAAGCAACATTTTACCTTTTAGAAGACATTAATTGAACAATTGATATGTAATTTTCCTTCTTGCAAAAATAGATTATAACTATTGTTTAGAATAGAAAACTAGCAGAAAAATTTTTGGAATTATAATAACATAGACACATTTTTAAATAGAGAAGACAAAACAGTCACAGAGAGAAGATAAGAGTAATTCCACAGAGTTTGCCTGGGAGGGGAATGGGTCTTGGAAGGAAGTCTTTAGAAGAAATATTGGTGCCAAAGAGACTGCTTAAAGAAAGGGCTCACCAAGGCTTAGAAATGAGAGAGAGCGAGCAAGAGAGAGAATACTCCACCCATCTGCAAGGAGGCAGATACTAACTTGCCCTGAGAATCAAGACAGCCTTGTTTGTACAGAATAAGCACAAGTACTTCTCATGTAAAGATATTTTCTAAGATGAATGTTTTAAAGGTAAAATGTTAAGATTGTATATGTCTCAACAGTTTCTAAACACAATTAAGCATGAAGTGATCACAAACTCATCAATTTATGCCCCTCTGTCATAATCATTATGAGCATCCCCTTTCACTCTAAAAAATGGCTCCGACTGCATAATAAATTATATGGTTGTGCTGATCAGGAGGAGCATTTGGAAACAGGACCTTTATTGAGTTGTTACGTCATAGAATTCTATCTTTGCCGTTAAAGATTTTGTAATCTCAAGCAGAAAACTCTGAAATAATATTCAGTGTAGAGGGAGGGTGAATGTTTCTGTCTTGTGTTAAAGAAATATGCAAGGGGTGGCCTCAAGTTCTCATTTCTGACTTCCTTTTCTGGTAATGCCGGCCGGAGCATCTCCAAGAAGTTTAATCTTCCTTTGTACAGGGTTAAGAAAGGAACAAAGGACAGGATTTTTCTAAACAATGATATGTGCAAGTCATTATTTAGAACATGACATATGTACAAACATATCTTTCACATGAGCAAGGCAAATACAACTCACTTGGATTTTCCTGCTAAACGTATACAATGGGCTGCCAAAAGTTTCAGTCTCAGGAAATTAGAAAAAACACCAAGGGAGGTCTCTGACCACTTGATTAAGTCTAGAACCTGCCACTAATAGAAAATTCAGTGGAGAGATTCTTATCTTTCTGTGGCTGTTGCAACAATGAGGAGACATATATGTAAATACTAATGTTGCTACCTAACCACAGCATTGAAACAGAATTCTTTCCTTATAGCCTTGGACTGCTTAGTCATCCTGAGAGAGTACCCCTCTCTCAAATGCTCCCTCTACAACAGTGAGACTGTGATGAGAACAATTGCAGTTCAACAATCTGTTGAAGGAGGGAGAAGCCAGGAGCTCCAATACTGACTGGTGTATGGATCTCCTTCAGTCTGATTCTTTCTTAGTTTCTTGCTAGTTCAGTGTCCCCTAGTGGTAACTGGCCTCATTAATGAACAAGCTGGTCACAGGAAATAGACTGGGAGACCTGTATAATCATGGTCTCTTTCATTTGTGTTTTATAATGAACACAAATTCTTAGGACCTACTAAGTGCCAGGTAGTACATCTTCTCATTAACTCTCTGAGTAGGAGATTAGCAACATCTAAAATAAGAAACAGAGGTTCTTATCTACAGAGATAAGAAAACGGAGGTTCAAGGAGCCTAGGTGGCATAGCCAAAGATTGGTATGTTGTAAGAGTCAGAGCCAGGATTTGAAACTAGGATGTTTGATCCTTAGTCCTAATGTTGTTGTTGTTGTATTTGTTGATTTTTAACTGTATTCTCATGTTTCATGAGTCCAAGATGACAGACATTTTCTAGACACAAATACAGCATAGTGGCAATTAGGAAAGGAGCCTCAAGATCACTGAATCTCTTCTGCCTCACCTTGGCTGCCTCTGACCTTTCTGACTTTGTGAGGGTTGGGAGGGCACAGGATAGAATGAACAAAGAACTGGCCTTATTTGGACACACCTGGGTTTACATCCTAGCCCCACCACTCCACCATTCACTCAATAAATATCTATGGAGTACCAACCATACTCTAGGCCCCAGAGACACAGTGATACAGAACCGAGAAAATATTCTTCATTGTATTTCTCTTTCTTTCTGATCCCCAGTTCTGTCAACTCTAAAATTGAGGTGGGTATACCACTGAATATTTTTGGAAGGTGAATATTAAAAGTTATCTAACATGTTATGAAAAGAAAGATAGCTGGTAATTGAGGGCAAAATAGTAATACTGATGGCCCAGTGCAAGGCAGCTTTTGCAAGCTGAAGACAACTGATTGGTCCAATATTCTTAGAACCCTCTTTTGAGCTGGCTGTCTTTAGATATAACGAAATCTGTGTACCATCACATATTTTACTTAGCCAAGTCCTGAATTCTGTTTGTGACATTAAAGGAATGATTTATCTCTTCATCCACTCCAAGCTACGGAGGTGACAGTTCATAATTGTGGAGTTGGGTGTCCAGTGTTGCCACAAAAACAATGGAAAAACTGATATGTTTCCCAGACAAAGGTTGGTGTCTAGATATTTGAGATGATGTCTTTTGAGGAATATATTTAAAAGACTGAATGGTAACATGTTTTTCGTGAGCAATATTTTATGTTATAGTGATGCTAATATAATATTTACTTAGAACTTTGGGTATCTCAGAGCATATTGTTCCTTAAGGAACTTTGTGTTCCTTTTTCTAATACAATAATTGAGAAAACTGGCTTAGGAAACTAAGAAATCACTGAATGTTAGAGCATGAGCATAACTTAAAGATTTTCTAATTCAACCTCCTCATTTTACAGACTGGAACGCAAGTGAGATTATGTATCTTATTCAAAGTAATTCTTTAATTAATTCAACACATATTTATTGTGTGTCTTTCATGTGCTCGGTACTATTGTTCTACATGTTGGGATTACAGCAGTGAGCAAAACAAACACAGTCACTGCTTTCATGGACTTTTATTCTAGTGGGAAGGGGGATATTTAATAAAAATTAAACAAATATATACAAGGTCAGGTAATGCTAAATGTTAAAGAAAACGTAATCAAGCAAGGTGAGGGCTAAAGGGTGATGAAAGGGAGTCCTCTCTTAGAAAGAATGTTCAGTGAAGGCAACATTTGAGCACAGTCCCAAATGAGGTAAGGGAGTGAACTGCACGGATATCTGGGGAAAGAATATTGCAGGCAGACAGAACAGCAAGTGCAAAGCCCTGAGGTGGACTCCCACTTAAAGGCCAAGGTGGCCAGAATGCAAAAGTGAAGGGCAAGAGGGGCAGGGAATGTGATCTGAGAGCAGGGAGTGGAGGAGGCACATCCCACAGGGCCTGGTGGGTGTGGTAAGGGCTCTGAGCTTTTAGGCCCTGGAGGGTTTTGAGTTGAGAACAGACATGATCTGATTTATGTTTTAGAAGGATGACACACAAGCCAAGATCAGACTAGAGTCCAGGTCTCTTTAAGGTAGAGCCCATAAGCCTTCTTCCCACTGTCACATGAAATACTGTATACTGGCAGCCAAAACTAAAGAGCAGATCTGGGAAATTTTTAGAAAATCTATATATTCATAATATTACCAAGATTGATGCTTTCAATCAGAGTTTAGTAAACACAAAGTAATAAAAATTATGCTCACACCTTCTTTCATCTCTCTGAAGGAGAAATGACAACATTTTGATACTTTAACATCCTTAACATATTTTAACACATCTTCACCAACTTCCATGACTAAAATAAACTAGGGAAAAGAAAACTGTGCTTCTTGCTGAGAAATCACACACCTCTGGCTTAGGATTTAAGTGAGTGGAGAAAGAAGCTGCCCTCTGAGATCATTTTGTCTGTTCTTGGACTGTGACATGCCTTTTGCACATTACGGGTCAAGCTGTGTTTGTTTCTAGCCAAGGTTTATCAATTTATACTCTCGATTGTGAGATTTAAACAAACAGTATTTAAGTGATTTTGAAATGTGCAAAATTTAAAAGGATTCTATACATGTGAAGAAAGAAGTTTGATATTGTTCCTTAAAGTTGAGACTATTATTCTCTTTTCATTCCTTACTTGAGCAGTATTTTTCTTTCATATAAGGCAGTAAAGTTCATCAAGTTAAGCTGAGTTCAGAAT
The DNA here is from genome assembly GCF_000001405.40 of Homo sapiens. NCBI lineage: Eukaryota > Metazoa > Chordata > Mammalia > Primates > Hominidae > Homo > Homo sapiens. The sequence continues at coordinate 46,664,266 of NC_000012.12, forward strand.
TTCATTATTGTAACTGAATTATTATGTTTCAGACATTCTCTGATGGTAATAATAATAGCTGCTGTGGATTGAGAATTACTTTAGGGCTAGATGCTTTGCATGCGCTACCTCAAATCTATCCACACTCCTGCAAGGTGCATGCAGTTATCCCCATTTTACAGGAAACTGAGGCTCAGAGGGGTTAATTGATTAGTCCACATCTACTCAGTCAACAAGTAGCAGAACCAATATTTGGACCCTGTCTGGTGTCACAGCTGGTTAGCTTTTTATTCACACACATTATGGCTGTGATTCATGGAGAATTTCCACTAATAAGGATGATTAAATAGAGTTGAGATATCTGGTGTGCACTCACATTCTGCTACTTTTAAATACTTGTTTTAGAATTAAGGAATCATAGATTTCAGGATTGGGAGAGACTTTATAGGTCATTTAGCCTAAACTCCCTGTTGATTCCTGCAAAAGCCTTGTCAAGCAATTTTTTTCCAGCTATGCTTCTGCACCTCTAGTGATGTGGAAAGCCTAAGGCAACATTTCCATTATTAAGCCGTTTGAAAATTACAAAGTTCCTCTTTACACTGAGTCAACATCAGCCTCCCTTTTAGCTTTTGAAGCCACATAGAACAGAGGCAGCCATATAACTGGAAGACAGTAATCATACTCCCATTTCAACTTCCATAATAGAATTCCTTATTTACTTGATTTTTCCCTCATAGCATATAGTTTGAGGTCAGGTTTCCATCCTAGTTAATTTCTTCTGCACACTTTTGAGTTTGTCTCTATCTCTTTTAAAGGGAAGCATTCAGAACCTAAGACTGTTTCTGTTTTGTTTTTGATTGGGGTCAGACCGTATGTCTGCCCCTGTCAGATCATGTTACTACTGACTCATGGTGAGGTTACCACTGACTCAAGCCCTGCTGTTTACCCACATTACTGCTAATAAAGCACGTTTCCTCATCCTGGGCTCATACAGTTTTTATCCTGTTTGTCAGCATTTACCTTTATTAGTAAAGATACTTAAAAAGATTAAATCCCTTGCTCAAGATTTGCAAGTTATTTTGAATCCTAATGTCAAGGCAAACATCTCTACTTACAAGAAAATCACTTTGCTTCGTGAACACATTTTTATTTCTTTTGCATGATTTCATGTATCTTCATTATGCAAGTGATGTTTTGTAGCATAGGTAGAAATTTGTGTATGTGTTATTTTAAACATTGGGTGCTGGGCTTAATACCTGGGTGACGAAAGAATCTGCACAAAAAGTCCCCGTGACAAGAGTTTACTTATGTAACAAACCTTCACATGTACTTCTGAACCTGAAATAAAAATTAAAAAAATGATATGTTAGCCTATCTTCACAGTGGATAGGCTGAAGATACAGGCCTATAGACAACCTATGACTCCTGGCAGATTGGTTTGCAGCAGTTTGTTACCTTGATCTTGGCTTGCAGCAAAATGTTGACTGTGAAGGAACCTGGGCTCTCAAAGGAGATGTCAAATTCTTATGAGCCAGGCCAATGTCCCATCCGACTGTGAATTTTTCCAATTTTTCAACTATTTGGAACAAGGATGGAAATGGAGCTTTGTACAAAATGATGAAGTTCGTTTAGTACCTGAATAGTGACTTAATACCAAGACAGAAATCCTGAAAAGGGCACACTGAGAATAAATACACAAATTACCTAAAACTGAGGCTTAACCATTGACAAAGGTAGCAATTTCTGAGGCTCCAGGATAGACAAATGTTACTGACCTTTGTTCCAACTGAATTTTTTCCCAAAATCTGAAATAGACTTTTCTTCTCCTTCTCCTTCTTCTTCTTCTTTTTAATTTGAGACAAGGTCTTGATCTATCAGCCAGGCTGGAGTATGATGGCATGATCATAGCTCACTGCAGCCTTGAACCCCTGGGCTCAAGAGATCCTCCCACCTCAGCCTCTGGATTAGCCGGGACTACAGGTGCAAGCCACCATGCCCGGCTATTTTTTTTGTAGAGACAAGTCTCACTAAGTTGCCCAGGCTGGTCTCAAATTCCTGGCCTCAAGCAATCCTCTTGCCTCAGCCTCCCAAAGTGCTGGGATTATAGGCATTTTGAGTCATCACACTGGGCCCTGTAATAGACTTTCATAACACCTTTATTTCATACTCAGGAAAGGAATATATCGCAAAGAAAATATTGAATAGGGAGATATTTTCTGTATGCTTTATTATTACCAGCAATACTTATATATACAGGTCTAGAGTAAAAGTCCAATAAAATTATACAAGTTTACCGTTTTTAAATCTAGATATGAGCTTAAATATTATCTAAAAATATTTTAAAATTGAAAATTTCTGAGGATTAAGAAGAAGGAATTTGGTAAATGTTGACAGTATTTGAATTAAGCTAAGGAAAGAAATTCCGTAGGTTAAAGAACTAATAGCTTGTAGTCAGGAACTTAGATTTAGAAAGTGAAAGATTGTTGGCAAAAATCACAATATAAAAGATATCTTCAAGTTTATCTAATTAAGCTACAATTTAAAAATGTGGTTGTCCATTAGAAATAATACTAGAGATTAGATGAGAAGGAGAAAGACATTGTTTTCATTGTATGTCCTTGTATATTATTTGCTTTTTTAAAAACAACAATGTGTATATATGATGAAAATGTATGTAACAATGAAAATATCATTATAATAAATATAAATACAAAATAATTAATGAAAACTGAAAAAAGTTCATCTATTAAATTTGTAATGGGTTTTTGAGCATCCAAAAGTGACTCTACTAAGAACGACAAAGATGTGTGTTTCTATTGTTTTATTTCTACACCATTACCACACGGTTTTTATTACTCTTGCCTTATAAGTGTATATTTTAGTGAAATACTATATGATACTATAAGTCCCCTTATTATTTTTTTAATCTAGTCTATTTTTCCTGTTTCTTTTTTCAGATGAAATTTGTAATTATTTATACCAACTTCCAAGACAGTCTTTATTAGGAAATTGAGTGGAATATCATTAAACATTTAAATTTTAATAATTTTAATCTGAAAGTATTGGCAACTCCAGAATATAATGTCTTCTCATCAAATTAAATGGAATTTATTTATAATTCTTATTTATTTCATGTATTCAGATAATGTTTTTAAGTTTACTTCAAAAAATAGCTACACATTCCTGTTGAGCTAATTGCTGTGTAAGTTAGGTTATATGTCTCTAATGAAAATAATCTTTTCTATTATATTTTCTGGGTTTTGTTCATATATAAAAAAAGCACTTTATTTTATAAGTGATCACCTTTATATATTTCTATGATAATTTTCCAGTTAATTCTCTTGGGTTTTCTAGTCCAATAACCTACTGGTAATTATAATTTGGTCTACCTTTTAATCATACTTCACAATCTCTTATTTGCAATTCAGTTTGAAAATGGAAAGTTTGTAAGTTTGGCACCAAAAGCTGACTTGAGAGGATGTGAGGCTGTTTATAGTCATAATGATTCAACTTTGTGTGAATACTCATACATTTTAATCTAGAAGTATTACTGATTACAGAATGCTGCCCCAGTTTCTGTTGTTACAAGATATATAGTAAATTAACATTTCTAAAACCAGAAAACTTCTAAATTCTGAAATACATCCAATCCCAGAGACAAATAAGGAATGTAGACTATACTTATATACCTTTTTTTAACTTTTCTTATTGAGCTAGCTAGAATTTTTTTCTGTGTTGAATAAGTGATAAGTGATTTTTACTCTTTTTTACTTTAATGAAGTGTAATAATCTAATGCCTTAGAGTTAAGTATGATATTGACTAAAATCAAAATGGGCATTCTTTATCATGATGAAAAAGAATGCCTTTTTAAAATGATGCGAATTTTTCTAATTTTCCAACTATTTGGAAGAAGTATAGAAATGGAGCTTTGCACAAAATGATGAAGTTCCTTTAGTACCCGAATTGTGACTTAATACCAACACAGAAAATTCTGAAAAGAGCATACTGAGAATAGATACACACATTACCTAAAACTGAGGTTTAACCATTGACAAGTGTAGCAATTTCTGAGGCCCCAGGGTAGGCAAATGTTAGTGATCTTTGTTTCAATTGATTTTTTCCAAAATCTGGATTAGACTTTTCTTTTTTTCTTCTTTTTAATTTGAGACAAGGTCCTGTTCTGTCACCCAGGCTTTGTTTGCTGAGAGAAATAGATTTTTGTTTCAAATATATATTCCGTATTACTGAGATGAAAATATTGTTTTCTACTTTGATTTTGCAGTTTGCATCATTGGTTCTGTGTTAGTTCGTTCTTGTATTGCTATAAAAGAATACTTGAGACTGGGTAATTTATGTAGAAAAGTGTTTTATTTTGGCTAACCATCCTGTAGGCTGTACAAAAAGCAAAGAGCCAGCATCTGCTTCTGGGGAGACCTTAGGAAGCTTCCAGTCATGGCAGAAGGTGAAGGGGGAGCAGGCATATCGCATGACAAGAGTTGGAGCAAGGGAGACAGGGAGGAGGTGCCACACTCATTCAACAGCCAGATCTCTGTGAACTCATAGAGTGAGAACTCACTCATTGTCTCAAGGACAACACCAAGCCCTTCATGAGGAATCTGTCCTCATGACCCAAATACTTCCCACTAGACCTATCTCCAACATTGGAGGCAACATGTCAACATGAAATTGGGAGGAGACAAATATCCAAACCATATCATTCCACCCCTGGACCCCTAAATCTCAAGTTCTTTTCACATTACAAAATACAATCATCCCTTCCCAATAGTCCCAAAGTTTTAAGTCATTCCAGCATTAACTCAAAAGTTCAAGTCCCAAGTCCAAAGTCTCATCTGGAGGTGAGTTTCTTCTACCTATGATTCTGTAAGACCAAAAACAAGTTATTCACTTCCAAGATACAATGGAGTTACAGGTATTGGGTAAACATTTTGATTCCAGAATGGAGATATCAACCACAAGAAAGGGGTAACACGCCTCAAGCAAGTCCAAAACCCAAGAAGGGAGTCGTTAAATCTTAAAGCTCCAAAATAATTTCCTTTGACTCCATGTACCTACCTTGAGGGCACACTGGTACAAGGGGTGGGCTCCCAAGGCTTTGGACAGCGCTGTCTCTATGGTTTTGCAGGGTGCAGCCCCAGTGGCTGCTCTCACAGGTTGGAGTTGAGTTTCTGTGGCTTTTCCAGGTTCAGGATTCAAGCTGCTGGAGGCTCTACCATTTTGAGGTCTGGAGGGCAGTGGCCCACTTCCCAGAGCTCTACTAGGAAGTGCCCCAGTGAAGACTCTGTGTGGGAGCTCAAACCCCAAATTTACCCTCAGCACTGGCCCAGTAGAGTATCTCTGGGGACTCTACCCTGTAGCAAGCTTCTGCCTGGGCACCCAGTGTTTTTATACATCCTTTGAAATCTAGATGGAAGATGCCAAGCCTCCTTCACTCTTGCATTCTGTGCACCTGCAGGCTTAACACCACATGGAAGCCACCAAGACTTATGACTTGCATCCTCCTGAAGAGTGGCTCAAACTGTACCTGAGGCCCTTTGAGCTGCAGCTGGAGCCAGGAGCTGGGACGCAGAGAGGAGTGTCCTGAGGCTGCAAGGGCAGCAGAGCCCTGGGTGTGGCCCCCAAAACCATTCTTTCCCCTAGGCCTCTGGACCTGCAATGGGAGGAAATGCCTAAAAGATCTCTGAAATGCCTTTGAGGCCTTTTCCCATTGTCTTGGATATTAACACTTGGCTCCCTTTTAGTCATGCTAATCTCTCTAGCAAGTGGTTGCTCTGCAGCCTTTCTGGATTCTTTCTCCAACAAAATGCCAGACTGCGTGCAAATTTTCTAAACTTTTACTCCCTGCTTCCCTTTTAAATATAAGTTCCAACTTTAAGTCTTGTTTTTGCTCCTGCATCTAAGCATAGGTAGTTAGAAGCAGCCATGCCACATCTTGATTGCTTTGCTTCTTATAAATTTCTTCTGCCAGATACCCTAAGTCATCACTCTTAAGTTCAAAACTTCCACATATCCTTAGGATGAGAAAATGATGCAGCCAAGTTCTTTGTTGAGGCATAACACAGGTAACCTTTACTCCAGTTTACACTATATTCCTCATTTCCATCTGAGATCTCGTCAGCCTGGATTTCACTGTTCATATTTCTATCAGCATTTTGGTCACAACCATTTAGAAAGTCTCTAAGAAGTTCCAAACTTTGCCCCATCTTCCTGTCCTTCTGAGCTCCCCAAACTTTTCCAACTTCAGCCTGTTACCAAGTTCCAAAGTTGCTTCCACATTTTTAAGTATCCTTATAGCAATGTCCCACTCCTCAGTACCAGTTTTGTGTGTTAGTCCATTCTTGTATTGCTATAAAAGAATATCTGAGACTGGGTAATTTATAATGAAAAGTGATTTATTTTGGCTCATGGTTCCACAGACTGTACATGAAGTGTGGTGCCAATATCTCCTTCTGGTGAAGACTCAGGAAGCTTACAATGATGGTGTAAGGTTGAAGTGGGAGAAGGCATATCACATGGCAAGAGTGGGAGCAAGAGAGAGAGAGGAGGCGGGTGCCAGGCTCTTTTAAACAACCAGGTCTCATGTGAACTAATTGAATGAGAACTAACTCATTACCATGAGGACAGGCCAAAGACATTCATGAGGGACTTGCTCCCATGATCCAAACACCTCCCACTTGGCCCATCACCAACATTGGAGGTAACATTTCAACTTGAGAGTTGGAAGGGACACACATCCTTCCATATCAGGTCCTAATTTTTCACCCCTCTCATGTGACTTTACAGTTCCTCCCATTTAAAAGGGAAGAGTATTATTTCTCCAACCCTTGACTGGATTCAGTCTTATAACTATTTTTGGCCAATAGAGTGAGGCAGAAATGACAGTGTACCAGTTCTGAAACTGTGCCGGCAGAGCCTTTGAATGTTTTTTTTGTCTCTCACACCTCTGCCATCATCATGAGAAGAATATGGCTTTGCTAGCTCCAAATCTGGGCTCGACATTCTTCTGCTCCAAAGAAGATGAGAGAGCCATGTGGAGCAGAGCCTCTCCAGATGAGGCCAGCCTAGGTCAATGAAACTCCAGCCAACACACTGACACTCAACAAATGCTTTCTGGTGCATGCTGCTGAGATTTTATAATTGCCTGTTATACAACATTGTAGCATTAGTTGGCTGATGCAAATATATTATTAGCTAATTATATTGATTGAATTTCTGGTATTAAACTATTTTACATTTCTGAAACAGAATTGTTTATTATTATTTCAACACAGGACTGAATTCAGTCTGCTTAATTGTTCATTTAGAACTTTCTGTTTGCATTCAATGGTCATCTTAGTCTATTTTATCTTTCTCAGGTTGGAGCATTAAAGTTATGTTATCATCATAAAACGTACTGGGATATTCCCCTAACTTCAACCTCAACATACAGCAGTATACAAATGCTGATTCCTAGAAAAGTTCTCATGATTCCCTGGTATAATGAAAAAAAAAAATAAGGAAGATGCAATGGGTTTTATAACGTCATTTGATTTAAAGAATAGTCCTTAATTCTGATCTTATGCACTTCCCATATTCTCAATGTTAGATTATTTATTCTTTTGCAAAATGATTCTGCTGATAAATGGTAATAAAAAAGAATGTTTCTACTACAAAAATTAAAACCTGGCAATCCCATGTTGGTCTCTCCAACTTTTCCCCTTAGCTCTCATAGTTTTTGAAATCCAAAGTTTGAAACCGTTTGTCTAGAACAATTTAAAGAGCATGTAATTAAATATAAAATAATTTGTGCCTTGAGAATTGGAGCTATTCTGAAGCAGTATGAAAGAGTGGTAGAGAATAGGAACTTTGAACCGTGTGGCCTCTAGCAGTCACTTAACCATTCCAAGAATCATTTTACTCCCTTGTAGAACAGGGCTAATAAGTAGGTACCTTTTAGGTCTATTATAAGGTCATATGTTATAAGATACTTAGCATAATATTGTACATATAGTAAGTACCTGATATGGCTTGGCTCTGTCTCCACCCAAATCTCAACTTGAATTGTATCTCCCAGAATTTCCATGTGTTGTGGGAGGGACCTGGGGGAGGTAATTGAATCACGGGGACCGGTCTTTCCCGTGTTATTCTCGAGACAGTGAATAAGTCTCACGAGATCTGATGGGTTTATCAGGGGTTTCCACTTTTGCTTCTTCCTCATTTTCTCTTGCTGCTGCCATGTAAGAAGTGCCTTTCACCTCCCAATATGATTCTGAGGCCTCCCAGGCCATGTGGAACTGCAGGTCCAATTAAACCTCTTTTTCTTCCCAGTCTCGGGTGTGTCTTTATCAGCAGCATGAAAACAGACTAATACAGTACTCAATAAATATTAGCTATTTTCATTACTAGTATTTTGATATTTTTCTCTGAATATATTTTGTTCTTAAAATGTTTTCTGTTCTTGATTTAATTTTTAAAACTTTTTGAATTGAAGTATAACATATATATTTAAAAATGCAGAAATCAAAGTGTATTACTTAATATTTAAAACAAATCAAACATATCCATGTAACGACCTAGGTCAAGAAATAGAATATTACCAGCATCTCAAGAATCTCCCATACAGACACATACAAGCACCCTACCAATGAAAAGTATCCATTATATATAATTCTCCTCAAAGGTATCCTTATTTCTAACACCATAGATTATTTTTCTGTTTTTGAAATTTTTATAAATAGAAGTATACAATATATAATATGTAATTTTTTTTGGTCTGGAATCCATTGCCTGAAATCGTATTTTTAAGAGTCAAGTGTGTTGGTGTGACATGTTTGGCTCTGTGTACCCACCCAAATCTCATCTCAAACTGTAATCCCCATGTGTCGAGGGAGGGACCTTTAATCTCCACATGTCGAGGCAGGGAGGTGATTGGATCAATGGGGGTGGTTTTCCCCATTCTGTTCTCGTGATAGTGAATAAGTTCTCATGAGATCTGACGGTTTTATAAGTGTTTGGAAGTTTCTCCCTCACTCTTTTTTCTCTCCTGATGCCTTGTGAAGAAGGTGCCTGCTTCCTCTTCACCTCCCACCATGATTGTAAGTTTCCTGAGTCCTCCCCAGCCATGTGGAGCTGTGAGTCAATTAAACCTCTTTCCTTTATAATTTTCCCAGTCTTGGGTGTTTCTTTAAAGCACAGTGAAAATGAACTAATACAGTGCATGCAGCTACAGATTTTTCATATTAATGTATAGTATCCAATTGTGTGATTAGAACACAATTTATTTATTCATGCTAATATTGATGGATTGTTTCCAATTTCATGATATATCATCAAAATATAATCACATTATTGGTCTTTTTAAGAACCAACTTTTGGATTTGTTAATATACTACTGGCTTTATGCTAGCTAATTAAGATCTGCTTTTATCTTTATTAACTCATTTGTCCTTCTTCCTGGCAGTTTTCTTTCCTAAGTTTAAGTTGAACACTTAGTTTATTTAGCTTAATTTGGTGAAGATGCGTTTGCTTGTCCCAGATTTTTCATGAGATGAGATTTTTCATGAGATGAAGTCTCTTTTTCATGAGATGAAGTCTAAATGCGTTAGGAGGCAAAACTTGGGTGTATTTTTCTGAACACAATTAAATCGCTTTTAAATGTTAGTTTATGATGTTGTGAGTTTTTGTTTTTTTCTTTGCACTTATTTTAGTGGGAAGTTGCACTAGGCTCCATAATTGCTGTCAACCAAATCCTGTATGAAGCTGGAAGTCTGTACTATGGAAAATCTGCTAATTGTATCCATGCTCCCATCCATCCATCCATCCATCTACCCATATATCCATAATTTTATGTGAAATACACCACGAGGTGCTAGAAACATTTAGGTGAACAGATAGAAAGGTTTTCTTAAGGAAGGACAAGAGGGAGCTGCAATTAAACAGGGACTGACAGGATCAATTTGCATTTTAGAAAGGCAATTCTGATGGCAATATGGAGAACAAACTGTAATTCAGCAAATTGGAATGTAGGAGCAGCTCTTCAGAAGAATGGATGACCTTCAGGTGCTCACTGTTCATGAGGAGCTGGTGAGGTGTGGCAGTGGTGCCAGGAGGGAACATTTTTTATTATATAAAGTCTTCATGATGCAACAGATCTATTTTTTTTGGCACACGAATAAGAAACTATGCCCTTAAAGAAGATAAAGTCTCCAATTGTTTCTTTTTAAAAGTTTCTTATCCTAATGTCTAATAGGAATCATTAGAAATTAATATTTTTCTAACTAGAGGCAAGTGATAATGTCTCAAAATTTCCACAGCTGTTTCAAACGAAATCTTAGCATTAATCTATTTCTTTTTCTGTGACATTTTAAATACTAATGTAGCATTCATAACACCTTTCCAGAATCCAAATTATATTTTATAGGAAGTAAAAATGTCTTTGAGCCAGGCTATTCATCCAAAGCATTAAGAGTTTCAGCTAGATAATTAGAGACTGGTTAAAAAAAAATGTGAATATGAAGTAGCAGAGCTAATTCTAATGAACCACCTAGGACGATTAATCTTATAAGTTTAATGTTCTGTCACTTAATATTTAAAAAAAATTTTGGAAATAAAAGACACCATCACATGATGACTAATCGAAGCTGGAGCATTTGAAAGTGATTTGAGAGGGAAAGTGAGAGGTACCTCCTGGTGAATATACTAGCTTAAGGAGCAATGTGGTATTTGGGTTTCTGAACCTGCAGGTTCTACAGCCTTGTGCTTATACCGTGACTCGTGAAGGAAAGGAGGCTGACACAGGTAAAGAAAATACCAGAAGTGTCATAAAAGAGGATTTGGTAATTCAGCAAAGCTCTGAGTCAGTAACTACCACAGGTCTGGCATGGCAATTGCAGGCCATGGATTATTAAAACGGCCTTGTTTGAAATGAAATTTAAAAATGGAGGTCTTAGCCCTGGATCTCCTTTTTGTAAATAGCATTTTTAGAGAACTGACCACAATGCTTGAAAAAGGTTACAATTCATCAACCTAAGCCACCCATTTATGGTTTGGTGTTGATGCTTTTCTCTACTCACTCTCTAAGGTTAGTTAAGATGTTGTTAGATTGTTTTCTCACCTTGATTTAGAAGAGAATGATGGTCCCTGGCTGGACAGGCACAAGGATATCTCTCTAGGGTGGTGAGGGGTGAGGAATGAGGGCAGATTGGGGATGAGGGAAGTGGAGGGAGAGATGGGAGGAGGAAAATAGCATGTGGAATTAAACACATCCAAAGTTTTTGGTGTTCCTTAGATGACATTTATCAAAACAAATAAATCGTTAAATGGTATTTAGTTGAGCAAGTACAGTAACTGAAAAAAGTAAATGAAGTATGAGTCTACTATATAATCAGAGTTTTAAATTCTTATTTTACTTTTTCTTCAATATGTAGTCTTAAGAATTATATGAGAGATGAATTCTTTATAAAGAATGAATAAATTCCGGAATCAAGATAAAAGCATTGTAAAGTTATAGTTGAAAGCAAAGGGTGAATATTGGAATTTTCAAAAAAATTTCTAATGCTCCAGCAAGGGGTTTTTAATTTATTTTTTAAACCACTGAATACCAATAGCTTCCAGGAGAGGGGGATAGAGAGTCAATTGATTTGACTGAGGCTCTATTAGAAAATCCAGTTTTAAAAGTTAAACCAGCCTGGCGCCGTGGCGCATGCCTGTAATCCCAGCACTTTGGGAGGCCGAGGTGGGCGGATCGCTTGAGCCCAGGGGTTTGAGACCAGCCTGGGCAACATGGCACTACTCCATCTCTACAAAAATACAAAAAAGTGGCCAGGCGTAGTGGCGCACGCCTGTGGTCTCAGAAACTCCGGAGGCTGAGGTGGGAGGATCACATAAACTCGGAAAGTCAGGGCTGCAGTGAGCTGAGATGCCGTCACTGCACTCCAGTCCAGGCACAGAGTGAGACCCTCTCTCAAAAGAAAAAAAAAAAAAAGAAAGAAAGAAATTCTAGTCTCTCAGGGCAATATTTCAGAACAGCCCTCCTTGTATATTTGCCATACCTAGTTCTTTCTTAATTTCTTGACTTAATGGCTTTGGTAGGCATGTTTGTATAATTAATACTCTAACCCACTGAAATACATCATGATCGACTATCATTCCAGAACACTAAACAATATTAAATGTAAGGATGGTGCATGTAGCTTCACATGCACAGCTCAGTGAACACTGCTTCAATCATTCCTCCAAGCTTTTCATTATTTCAACCCGGAGTCTACATTCATCTAAGTCACTACATGCCTCTATTCAAAATCCATATTTAGTTCACAAAGTAAATATCTGTATAAGTATGAGCAATTTCAAAACCACACAAATGCCACTGTTTTATTCATTACAAGTCTTCATGAAATATTGCCCTCAGCAGAAATGAATGAATGTCTTTACCTGAAAAGGAATCAGGAAAAGGAATAGTTTCAGCATTGCCAAAAATGAGATAGAAACTTGTCTTATGACAGATAATCCTTAGATTATGAGATAAACTGCCTTCTTCATAATACTCCTGACACTTGTGACACCTTTGACTTTTTAATGTAGTTCTAATACAAAATGATATCTTAGAAGGGTGTTTCTGAAATTTAATTGTTGGTAAGAGTCAACTAGTGGAAATAACCAGTGCAAGCTCTTCGGCCACATCCTAACTAACTGAAGATGGGATCATAATAGCTGTAGTATGAACTCTGCCCACTCCTAAACTCTAGTCACGCCTGGGCGTGCCTGCCAAGCTTTGTAATGGCTTGCAGAAGCCTGTTTCTAGGAGGCTGAGGAGGTTCCTGGGAGAGAGGCAAAGAAGATAGATCCAGTCACAAATGGTAGATTGGTCTGAATAAGGACTAACTTTTTGATTTAAGATGAGAAACTAGAAGAAGGTACAATGAGTGGGCTTTTACACAGAAAGCATTGAGTGAGAGGGTACAAGCGAAAACCAAGCAAATTAGATGATGTCGCCTCTAGCGACTCAGCAAGAGCAACAGTAGCTGCCCAGTCCTGATACTTCCATCTGTCCTGGAAAATAGCCATTGGGTCCCCTCTGTTCAGGAGCCAGGCATTTGTAGGCTGGGCCACCCTGGCCCGAGGAACCTGCCAGGACTTGAAATCTATAGAAACAAAAGGCAGTTGTTTTTATACATTAAACACAATATCCAAGTCAATAATTGCTGGTTTAAAGTCTAGTGCCCCAATCAGCTGTATATTTAAGGATATTCATACAACAAATTTAGGTGACAGTTTGGTGACCCAAAGAAAGGTTTTGTTACCACATTCCAAAGGGGCCTTTTTCCAGAGGCTCTATTGAGACCAAAGGGAGAGGCAGTTTTTGTGATCTCACTGAGTGTATTGCTGCGATTTATCTCCAAGCCCAGCCCCCACAACATGAATACTTCAATACTGTTGTGAGGAGAGAACAAAGTAAAGACTGGAAGGGCTATTTCTCTAAATTTAAGACATTAGTGCAGTGGCAGCTTGGCCTGAATAGTTCTTTAACAGATTATGACCCCAAAGGAGGCAAGGCGATTACCCACCTCTTTTCCAAGAAAACACTGTAAAGTGCAGCTATCTCCTCTCTGGTGGGAGAGAGAAGTACCCATGGAGCATGGTGTTGGCTGGAAGATGCACTGGTAGAAAAGACAGGAGAGAGTGGCAGTAGCAGACACCAGGAGTGGATTTGTTACTAAGTATAGGTGAGCCATCTACTGGAGGATCCCCAGAAATATTTGTAGGGTGGTGGGGATTTTGTAGGAGCCTGAAACTTCTACATTAGCAGTTGAGTCTATGAAACATGAATTACAACTGCGTCTTAACACCAGACATGTGTATAAACTGGGAAGATAGGTTAATTCTGGTGCTTACAGTCAGTGAAGATGAATTAGCATTCAGAGCGCTTGAGGTTCCTCTTGATGTCTTTGACAAAAACTGCTTGGATCATACTTGAACTGAGACATTATAATGCAGAGGTGTTTTTTTGGGGGATTACTAATTGTCTATTATATTTTCAGCACTACCTGGATGCTATAGAGGATGCAAGAGAAATATGACTATTCCTGTCCTTAGGGTGTCATGGTCTAGTGGGGGAGATAACACAAGTACACAGGCAACTTAGAAACAAAGTAAAAGTGGGAGTTAGGAAGATGCAGATATTTGGTTCATTCTCATAACTGTAATTGCAGTTAGCCCAAGTTGGTGGACCTAAGCTGAATAATTTCCCTGGGCTAACCAGAAATTTTAAAAACCACAGCAGATATACAGCTCTCATTTAATCCATCTTCTAAATTCCTTCTTTCTTTACTTGGATTTTATGCTTAACTGTTACTCTGCGTAATCACTGTACAAGTTAAGACTTGCTGAGCTTAGTACTACTGTTGCTTACATTGACTCAGCTTCGCATTTACATGGCCAGTGCTTCAACATTTCTTTATGAGTATGCCAACTTCCTGATTTCACTGCCTTCTGAATCCTTTTGTTGGATAAATTAAATTTATAAACAATAACTTTTATATTATATACCATCGAATCTAAGAAACCATAGATAGTAAAATGTACCATTATTTTATGTACCACTAAGAAAAAAACCTGTCACTATACTTCCATATCACTTAGAATTTTAAATTGATACTTATTAAAGGAGATCTCTAAGGCTTACTTATACAGAGAATTTTATCATATATCCTCCTTATGCATAATAAAAAGAAACATATAAGCAAAATAAATTGCTTAAGATATTCCTAAAACTTCACATTCAGAGTCTAACTCTTCCAAGTCACTTTTTAACCAAGAGTTGTTGGTGCTTTTCCACATAATACCTCCTCCGTGCATCAGAAATATTGGTTATGTATCATTACTTCTTTTAAAACTTTTTATTGAAGAAAGAGTGCATATTACATGAATGTACAGCTGAACCAGTTATCTCAAGGTAAACATCCATTAAACCACAACCCAGTCAAGAAAGACAACATCATGAAACATCCAAGGAGCCCCCTTTGCTTCCTCTCAGGCACTATCATTGTTCCTCTACTGCCACTGCCATTAGTATGTCATCACAGATTAATATATAGAATAGATTGCTTCTTTGTGGCATTTATATAAATGGAATCATTCAGTATGCATTCCTTTGTGTCTGACATTTTTTGCTTAACATTAGGTTATGAGCTGTATTCTTGTTGTATGTAGCTTGGTTCATTCATTCTTATTGCTATAAAAGACTTTATTATACGAATATACATAATTTTATTTCTCCATTTTCCAGGTGATAGAGAATTGAGTTGTTTCCGTTTTATTTTGTTACAGATAATTCCACAATGAACAATCTTTTGCACGTCTCTTTGTAGTGTAGTGTGTGTATATATGCACACATATATAGGTATTATTCAAGAGTGGAAATCCTGTGTATTTTCAGCTTTAGTAAATAATGCCAACAGTTTTGCAAAGTGGTTAATAATGCCAACAGTTTTCCAAAGGGGTTGTGTCGATTTCCTGTTACAAGAGAGTATCAATTTAATTAAACGATCAGAATTCCTTCAAGTGTGTTATATCAAACGTCAATGTCCTGTGAAAACAATCTTGTTATTATTGTTTGACTATTTGGATTTAAATAGACATCTAGGTACCTGTTAAAAGAATGCTAAAAGTGTGAAATATGAGAATGGCCAGTAACTATTTTTAATTGATGACATATTCAGCTTGGGTTGATGGGTAACTGATCTACTGATGTTCTTATACTAATATAAAAATAATGAGTAGGAATGGGTCAGGTGTACACACACACACAGGATGGTATACAAGAAATAGCTTGAAGTTAAAGAGGATGAAAAGGATTAAAAGAAGCCTGATCTCTGGCTTTTAGCCGTAGGAAGTAAAATCCAAAGATGGCAAATTTGTTAATTTTCCTCTTTAGATGTATTTTATACACATAGTGTTTTGCCTACTGAATCAAAATCTTAGGTCATTTCACTTTTGTATTGACTAACATTGAAGCACAATCTAAAGACATCTCTGTGGCAATAGTAACTACTCCCAAAGCAATGTGTGTGCTGAGGAATGGGGCTGTGGGAGCCTCAGAGGAGGAACTGGAACAATAGAAATAATGTCTAGAGCTGTCATTCTCTAAGGTGACCCTTCTGCATGGTGGAAAATAATTTGCAAAATGATGGTTTAAGAGACGGCAGCAGTGCTTATCAGTATGTCTTTATTTGACACTGAGGGGAGGAACTTGCTTTTGCCAACTGAGTAGTTGCCAGTGATTTTTATTTTAAGTGTATTATATTTGCAGGTACTCTCTTTTCTTCCCCACCCTGCTCATAATTTTGAAATGCTTTTGGTCCTTTGGGTGAGATTAGTGAAGAAACATTCACAAGAGATCTGGGCATTTGAAGGAGGAAGGCAGCTGAACCTGCAGGATGATCCATTAACAACTGGAAAAATAGCCACCATCCAGGACAGAGAGGATGTTACAGGAATAATAGGCATCAGACGTTCCCTGTGGTTAAAGGTATTTCCTGTGAGAAAAAAAAAAAAAAGAAGCCTAGTAGTTTTGGAAGGATCCTCCCTAAAGGGGTGCAAAACTTTTCCTTGCAAGTTGGAAATAGAATGGGTAAAGCAATTTGTTCAAGAAATGGGTCTAAATGCCCTTTCATTTCTCTGTGCCTTATTTTCCTCAAGCAATCAGTAGTATAAGCAGGTGGAAAGAGCATGCATGTCTTTTGTTATTCACGAGAATTTAAGGTGGTATAATGTCACACGGACTCCTTGAAATTAGGGACCATATCCAAAGTTTTTTTTTTTTCTGTATCTTTTACAAATCCTGGCATATAGGAGGCATTTAATAAATAAGTTCTGAATATACTATTTTTAACTGACATTTATTCGTAACTTTCTCATAATTCTTTTCTAGGGTATCAACGTACCCTAATATAGCTAGCCAATTTCATTGCCTTGTATCTATTATTTTCTACACACTTTCCAAAGAATCAAATGCCTGAATCATTGCACTAGTAAAAGCTTTACCCCAAAGTCATAAACAGTAAAATTTTTAGCAACTGAGCTATCATTTTGTACTGGGGGATATATGAACCTCACATATGGCAAGATGGACTTTTCTTGGTCTTTTTAGTCCTGTGAGGTTTTTTCCTTTTTTTCTTTTCAATCAGTATCTAGAAAAAAAATTACCTTGAAATCTAGATACTTTGAGTTCATGTAATATTTTTATTCCTATTCAGTTCCATCTTCCTTCTGCATTAATTATAATGCAATGAAAACTAAATCAATAAGTTTAGTCTCCAGGCAATTAAGAAAGTATCAGTCAGGCCGGGCGCGGTGGCTCACGTCTGTAATCCCAGCACTTTGGGAGGCCGAGGCGGGCGGATCACGAGGTCAGGAGATCGAGACCATCCTGGCTAACGCGGTGAAACCCCATCTCTACTAAAAAAAAAATACAAAAAATTAGCCGGGCGTGGTGGCGGGCGCCTGTAGTCCCAGCTACGCGGGAGGCTGAGGCAGGAGAATGGCGTGAACCCGGGAGGCGGAGCTTGCAGTGAGCCGAGATCGCGCCACTGCACTCCAGCCTGGGCGACAGAGCAAGACTCCGTCTCAAAAAAAAAAAAAAAAAAAAAAAAAAAAAAAAAAAAAAAAAAAAAAAAGAAAGTATCAGTCAATGTAGCTCTAGGTAGAGCCTTTAGTAAACCTGAATCTTTAAGACCTCTGAACTTTTTTTAAAAAATGAAAAACGTACCCAGATTTTGAACATTTGTTTTGTTTAATACTGTTTTGTACTGTAGATACAGTACCAATCAATTTAGCTCAAGGGTCTGTTTGACAAATGTCAGAACCCTGGCGACCATGGTGCATAGAATTATGTCCAAGCTTCACATGTCCACCATGAGGCCATCATATTTTTGACTGGGGTAGAGTTCTGGAACAGCTCAAGATGGAGTCTCCAAAAAGGTGCCCAGCTTCTGGTCATCACTGAATGTTGTGCCTAAGCCAAAGTCAACTATTTTTATGTTGTAGTTGGCATGTAGAAGGAAGTTCTAGGGCTTCGGGTCCCTGTGGATGATTTTCTTTTGGTGGCAGTATTGTACAGCAGATATAATTTGCCTGAACTTGCTTTGGGCCTCTTCTCCTTCATGGGCCATGTTCTAGGATATAGTCAAAGGGCTCTCCACTGCCATTGGACTCCAGGACTAAATACAAGGTGTCCATGGTGTTGATCACTTGAAAGAGCTTGATGACATTGGGATGATTTAGAGCCTTCATAATGCTGATCTCTCACTGTACACTCTGGAGGCTGGAGGATCTCTGCTGACCTTTCAAGATGACATTCACAGCCACCTGGGTCCCTGTGAGAATGTTCCGGCCCAACTTTACCCTGGTGAAGCTTCCTTGGCTGATTTTCTTGAGGAGCTTGTAATCCTTAATAAGGGTCTTGTCATCAGCAGAGTTGGAGGCCAAACTGTGTCACATAGGTCACTGGCAATAGTGATCTCCTAGCTTTACTAACTATAAATTATAACTAGGAATGCTAACTACAACACTAACTATACAAACTATGCCACCTACAAATACTAATGAACACTGTTGGAGTTGCTCTGCTGATATTTGTAGATGACCTTTATGGCCACTTTGGTGCTGGTAATAATATGCTGGGCCAACTTCACCTTAGTTGTACCTGGGTGCTGGATGATGTCACCAGGAATCACCTCTCCCAACCTCTGGCTCTGCCTACTTCCCTGTGTTAGAGACATTCTCAAGCCCTGACCAGATGCTGATCCAGGGATCACCCAAACTGATGACATCCCTGTCCTCAAGGAGCTGATACTCTAGCAGGGGCAGACAGGCCGATTGGGAAGATGGACTGAAATTGACAGTGGCTCTTGGGTAGAACAGAGACCCCTGATGTAACAGATGTATTAGGAGAACATAGAGAACTCAAGAACGAGAATGGAGTCGTTGGACTTCCGAGAAAACTGGAGTCAGCATCTGGCAAGTCACCAGGAATCAAGTCTGCTGCATTTCTTCCACTGTCCTTGGGCCACATCATCTCTCATCTGCTTCTGTCTGCACATCACTACCTCCTCATATCTTAAAATCTGTTGGCTCTTCTCCATTTCCATTGCCCTGATCCTAGTCTTAAAGTAGTACTCTTTTATTCTTGCCCAGAAAACTGAAATGGCCTCCTAATTTTTCTCCCCAAATCCACTCTCTCATGCCTGTTTTCAATTTATTTTCCTTCTCAATACTAACAGATTGGTAAAAAGTAGAAAATGTTGTCAATTGTTTTCCAGTGCCCTTATGAGATAGACATCAAAACTTATGATGTGGAACGGGAATACTGCTCACCCCCTCAGTGCCTTTGGACATACTGCCTTCTTTGTCAGAGGGTCCTGCAGCCCTATCCTTGCCTTTCTCAGGCATGGGCAAAGGATTAGCTGATGACAAGTGAGGGAGATGTGGGCACACTGTAAACACCAGCACTGTAAGAACCACTTTTCTTTTCTTACTGCTGTGACCAAGGTGACGTTCCAGATAAAGCCTGCTCAGTGAGCCTGAGTCCAGATCCAAGAGGATGCAGAGCAGAGCAATGGTGGCATATAGCATGATAGATGAATTACCCTGACTGTTGACCCCTACTATGTGGGGTCATTTGTTACTCAGCATCACCTAGCCTGCCCTGATTGATGTATGTGGTTTATGAGCTCTTGCTTTTTGCCCTATCTCTTGCTGAGGACTCTCTGGCTTTTCAGTAGTTTGGTAGTTATACATGTTGCTCTTCCCACCTTAGACATTTCTCTATGTTATTCTCTTTTGTTGGAAAGTTCTTTACACCATTTTGTTGTAGTTGTTGTTGTTGCTGAGTTCACATTTCCTTACCAGTGAGATCTCAGCTTAAGTTTGACATTATCAGGAAAGAATTGTCTGGCCTGTGTATAAGGTACCTAGAATTCACTTTCTTTGTCATCATGTCTTTCACTAAACTATAATTTCCATGAAGTCGATGTATTAGTCTGTTTTCATGCTGCTGATAAAGATATACCCGAGACTGGGCAATTTACAAAAGAAAGAGGTTTAATGGACTTACAGTTCCATGTGGCTGGGGAAGCCTCACAATCATGGTGGAAGGCAAGGAGGAGCAAGTCATGTCTTACATGGATGGCAGCAGGCAAAGGCAGAACTTGTACAGGGAAACGCCCCCTTATAGAACCATCAGATCTCATGGGACTTATTCACTATCATGAGAACAGCATGGGAAAGACCTGCCCCCATGATTCAATTACTTCCCACTGGGTCCTTCCCACAATATGTGGGAAGTCAGGATGAGATTTGGGTGGGGACACAGCCAAACCATATCAGACAGAGACCATGTATTTAGCTCAGACTTCTTTGAGGCCCTGCTTCCTCCCCACTATGGGCCAAGTTCTGTGCTGAGGGCTGGAGGTAATGCAGTGAGTCAGTCATGAGCCCTGCTTTCACAAATCTGTCCCATAAAAGGAAAGGCAGACATGCAAGCAGCAGGATTTGAACCCACTGTGTGTTCTAACAGGTAATGAGGATAAGTGATGCAGGGCAAAGGGAAGGCAAAGAAGACTGCCTTGAGAAGGGAGTGTCTAAGAGGGTTTAAAGAGGGAATTGGAATCATCCAGGTAGGGAGCTTGCTGGGATGGCATGGGATGGGGATGAGGGGTTGTAGAGCAAGGAGACAGGGTGGATAAAGTTTTCAAGGCTTCAGAGAAGATGAGCCTGGGAACAGCAGGGACCAGAGTGAACCTCTGGCATCTTTGTTCTTGAGAATCCAAGCATTCTTGCTTCAGTGCCTTTGCAAGTAAAAAGTGGTAGGTGGTGTTTGCACACACTGTGAGAACCAGAACTCTATGTCCTGAACATCTAGAGGAGGGGTAATTACTTCCCATTGGGGAGGAAGGGAGCTGGGGCAGGAGCAATGGGGAAGATTCTTCTCAGCTGAGGCTATAAGGGAAAGGAAGCTGGGCTGACCAGGTTTGGGGAAGAGGAGTAGCTCAGCAGCAAAGGTAGGAGGCCTGCCTCTGCAAAGGTAGTAGAAGGAATGCAGTCTGTTCTGCCTGCTTAGCATAAGTGGGGGTTAGCTTCCTGGGGACCAGCTGGCTGTGTAAGATCATATCGCACAATGGGGCCATTTTCTGTAGGTCCCCCCTGGATTAGAGGGTGACAATGAGCCCTGCCTGTCCTCTGTGCTAGTCATACTGTTTTCAAGTGTGGCAGAGTTCACCAGGATAGGGCTGCCAGGAGCTTGTCCACTCAACTGATTGGAATAGGGAGGCCTGGGCAAATGATAGCTAGACAGTGGGGCTGGGCCAGCTGCAGGAGATGGGAAGCTGCAGAGGTGGGTGATGAAGAAGCTGAGGCTTTACATTTCCAGGTGTCAGGGTCTCTGGCCTGGGCCAACTCCAAGTCCCATGGACTCCTTCCTGGGGGGCAGCTAGGTGCCTAACGTCTGCTGGCTGAGCTTCCAAACTCTCAGACTCAAACTGGATGGACTCTCTGGATCAGCAGCTGGGTGTCATTTGGTGTGCCATGGCTGACCCATCAGCCCTGGCAGCCTGCAGTGCCAAGCTGAGGAGTCCAAAGTTGTCTGTGTGCTCTGTGAGAAAAAGTGCTGTGATCTATTAGCCAGGTCTGCAGTGGGTGATGAAGGCGAGACCTATGATATGTGTGCCAGCCATTTGTCATCCCTGGTAGGGTTTACACCTTTATTTTGTGTATAGAGAAACTGAGGCTCAGAGGGAGGAATGCCTTCTTCCAGTTTGAGGTCCTTCTGCCTCCCGCTCTAGCCGCCCCACAGCCTTCTGTGTTCCCATAATGATGCATAATGAAGACAGCACTGTTTGTACAGGGAATCCATGCATACTGGATGTGTCTGGACCTACATTGTATTCCTCCTGTTTTTTTTTGTTTGTTTGCCTATACCTTCAAATATTTAATGTGTCTTGTACATTATATTTGTGTGTTTTAAAGGATAATAAAACATCTGTGAACCAACCATTCAGCTCCAGGGCTAGAACATTCCCAATAATTTGCATCCATGTGTTTGCAATTTGTCCTACCCCAGAGGTCACTGCAATCTGGAATTTTGTCATTCCCTTGCTCATAGAATTACTATATATGTCCAAAATGTATACGATTTGGTGTTTGTCCAGCTTTATGAAAATGATATGCAATATGTAAACTTCTAAGAATTGCATTTTTTTACTCAATATTTTAATGATTCTAAGCTTTATCCATGCTGACGTATGTAGCTATATTTTATTTTTACTATTATGAAAATGAATAATGTGAATATTCCACAGTTGGTTTTTGCATTCTATCAATGGATATTTGGGTCATATCCATTATTTTCTATTCTTAACAATGTTGCTATGAGGAAATAAAGAAAAGTCATTTGGTGCAAATTACGAATAACTCCAGACCCCTTAAGGACAATACATATTTAAGAGAAGGAAAATGTAGTGCTTTTGTTGGAAGAGGCCAGCTGCTGGATTTGGTGATGACATATGTAGAAGTGGGCTCCTGTTTAGCAGTTCTGGGGGTGGGGCCTCACAGAATAGACACTGTTAAGGTTGTCTAACTACAGTACAGTCACCAGTTTTAAAACATTCCCCAGGTGATTCTAAGTAAAGTGTGGCTAACATGGGCATATAATGTAGGTTTTCATACTTTCCAAAATATTTTTGGTTTGCCATATGTATACAAGACACTATGTTAACACTGATATTTGGGGAAAATTTTGCAAATTTAATTCAATAAGTACTTATTATATATCTACTCTGCTAGGAAGTTCAACGGGGAACCAGTTAGAGGATTCTGTGTCTTAAAATGTGATTCATGCACCACCTGCATCATAATCATATTTTGTTTTAATGCAGATTCATGAAGTTTAGCCCAGACTCTCTGAATCCAGTATTCCTGTGGATGTGGCCTAGGAATCTGCACATTCAACAGGCATCCTCGGATGCTCTTTTATACATTAAAGATTGAGAAACATTACTTCAGGACTTTTTTTATTAAATGAGGTTGTAAAATATTTTATGGAATGCAAGGGAGGAAATAACTTCTTTCACATAGGGAAGACGGGTAAGGATTCCCAGAAGGGTATGTGAGATTTTAAGCAATGAATGAAATTACTATGGAAAGAATGAAGGAAATTCTAGGAAGAGGGTGGAGCACGTACAAAAGTAAGGAAGCATAGTCCAGGAAGAGAGAGTGGCTTTCTGTGGGGAAAGGTGACAGAGATGAGAGAGAGAGAGGGAAATGCAAGAATGGAGAAAAAAGGAGCAGAGTAGGTTGTCACAGTGTTTGGTAAAATAGTGCTCATTGAAGGGCTGAGGGCTGGTTTACAGTCCTCATGTCGACCTCCTTCAAGTTCCCAACACACTCATGCTGTTCTCTCACTATCCCAAATTTCACTTCTAATCTCTTAATAGTGTCCATGATCTGAATCTGCTTTAATTTCTTCCTTTTTAAAAAAATGTACCTAGGATGTCAGTGGAATGGATGGGTAAGAACCCTGGAAAATCTATCCCTCCATAAAAGCAATGAGACCAAGGGGGAAAAAATGGTGAAAATCTACTTTTTCAGAACTCTGGGTATTAATCAAAGGCTTGCCACAGTCTGAAGACCTTTTTTCCCCGCCCCCCCCCCCAAAAAACAATGGCCAAATCTGAATAAGAGCAGTGAGATTTTTAATATTGTAAATTGCCTTATTCCCATCCTCTTCTCCCCAGCTGAGAGGCTTGAAAAATCAACATCTCTGTAATCTCAGGTGGAAACCAGCAGCCTAGTGGGCAGAAATGTTTGGAGCTGGCCAAAAGAACCATTCTCAGAAAATTGTCACTATTTGATCAATCTGGAAGTTTCCTGGAAATGCCCACTCACAAGGCTTTTCTTTGTTTGACTTGTCTCAGAACTCTTTCTATGTGTGCAGCCTTTTCCATGAGGGTGTTGCTTGAAAATAATGAGCAGAATTATGTTAGCATTGAAGCTATCTAGGTCCAATAACAGTTGGGAAAAACAAAAAGCTGACCAAAGTGATTAAAAGGGAAAGTTGGGAAATAAGATGTCCATAGGGGAATTTGAAAAGTTCCAACATATTCTAGAAAGGCCATGCACATGTCCAGGGCTGTGTGCATGTCCAGGGAAGACCTAAGAATGCCCTAAGCTCTCTAGGATCTCACCTCTGACTGACTTTCAGACTCTGTGCAATCTAAAAGTAAAGACTAAGTCAAGGTTGTACATTGCTTGCCTGAGTATTGAAGGTGTGCCCAAACATGCACACAGATCCCCTTGTCAAAGGTTTATTGGTTGAAATAACTTAAGAAAATCTCTGTCTATATATGAGCTGACCACTAAACTGACTGAGCAGAAAATTCAGAGGCCACACATGACCAAAAAGTAGATACGTCATTGACTTAAGTAAGGAAAGTCACTCAGCAATCAACACTAGCAAAATCAACAACAATAACAGCAACAACAAACCTTGGGGATTCTGATTTCTGAGGTGCCACATTATATTATTTAAAATATCCAGGTGAATACAAAAAGTTATAAGGCATACAACAAAACAAGGAAGTAGACTCATGCACAGTGGAAAAAAGCAATCAATTAAAACTATCCCTGAGGAAGTCCAGATGCTAGATTTACTACTCAAAGATTTTAAACTGACTATTTAAAATATGTTCAGAGAACTAAGGAAACCATGTCTAAAGAATTGAAAGTATGAGAATGAGGTCCCACTAAATAGAGAATATCAATAATGAGATATAAAAAATAACCAAATAGAAAGTATGCAGAAGAAAATAAAATAGCGCAAATGAAAAATTTACTAAAGGTGCTCAACAGATTTGAGCTGGCAGAGGAAATAATCAGTGAATTTGAAGCTAGATCAATTGAGATCTTTCAGTCTGAGACAGAAAAAAAGAGTGATGAAGAATGAACAGTCTCAGAAACCTATAGGGCACCATAAAGTGCATCAACATACCCATACTGGGAGTTCCAGAAAAGAAGAAGAGAGGGAAGGGACAGAACATTTGGTAAAGAAACAGAGGACAGGCCAGGTTTAGTGGTTCATGCCTGTAATCCCAGCACTTCAGGAGGCTGAGGTGGGTGGATCACGAGGCCAGGAGATCGAGACCATCCTGGCTAACACAGTGAAACCCCGTCTCTACTAAAAACACACAAAAATTATCTGGGCATGGTGGCACGTGCCTGTAGTCCCAGCTACTCGGGAGGCTGAGGCAGGGGAATTGCTTGAACCTGGGAGGCGGAGGTTGCAGTGAGCCAAGATCGTGCCACTGCACTCCAGCCTGGGTGACAGAGTGAGACTCTGTCTCAAAAAAAAAAAAAAAAAGAAACAGTAGACAAAACTTCCCAAATTTAATGAATAACATTAATCAATAAACCAAAGACACTTAATAAACTCTTAAGTAGGATAAGAAAAGAGATCCACACCTAAACATATCATTATCTGTTGAAAACTAAAAACAAAGAGAACCTTAAAGCAAGAGAAACAACCTACCATGTAGATTAACAGTTGATTTCTCATTAGAAACCATGGAGGCCAGAATAGGCATATTCGAAGTGATAAAAGAAAAAGTCTGTCAACCAATAATTCTACAAACAACAAGACTATATGCCAAAAAAGAAGAAGACATTGAGACTTTTCAAAACAGAGACAGAGAATTTGTTACTAGCAGACCTAACCTACAAGAAATGCTAATGGGATTACTTCAAGCTGAAGTGAAAGGACACTCAACAGCAACCTATATCTATTTGAATAAAGAGCACTGCTAAAGGTAAATAAAGAGCACTGCTAAAAGTAAATATATATGAAATTATAAATATTGTATATAAAAGACAGCTGAGGAAACCACACTATAAATCTTAATTTCAATAGCATACAAACACTTGCTTCCATAAAGCTCCATTCCCTCCCCCCATTTGTGATATATTATCATACAAATTACATCTTTATACCTTATATGCCCATGAACACAGATTTAACATTTTACCATGAAAACAAAACATACCAAAACTTATGGGACGCAGCTAAAGCAGTGAGTAGAGGGACATGCATAACTTTAAATGCCTATACTATAAGATCTCAAATTAACAACCTAATCTACCACCTTAAGAAACTGGAAAGAGAAAAGTAAACTAAACTTAAAACAAGTAGAAGCAACAAAGCAGCAATAAATGAAATAGAAAATCAATATAAAAATCAACAAAACCAAAAGTTAGTGCTTTGGAAAGATTAACAAAATTGACAAGCCTTTGGCTAGACTGGCTTAGAAAAAAGAGATACAACTCAAATTAATAAAAATTAGTAACAAAACAGGGACATACTGACCTTACAGCAATAAAAAGGGTTATACGGAAATAATTGTATGCAAATAAATTAATTAACATTGATAAAATTGACAAATTCCTAGAACACAAACTGCTGGGACTAAGAGAAATAGAAACTTTGAAAAAAAAACTATAGTAATTAAAGAGATTGAGATTGAATAGTAATCAAAAACCTTCCCACAAGGAAATGCCCAGGCCCAGATGCCTTCACCAAATGTTAATTCTACCAAATGTTTAAAGGAAATTAACATCAAACTTTCACAAACTCTTCCAAATAAAAGAGGAAGAGGGAACATTTTTCCATTAATTATATGAGGCCAATATTACCATGATATCAAAACCTGACAAAGACATCCCAAGAAAACTACAGACCAATATCCCTTATGAACATAGATGCAAAAACCCTCAACCAAATACTAGCAAACCACATATAACAATATATAAAAACGATAATACACCATCACCAAGTGAAACTGATCCCAGGAATGGAGGGTTGGGTCAACATGTGAAAATCAATAAATATAACACACAATATTAATAGAATAAAGAACAAAAAAATCATCTCAATAGATGCAGAAAAAACATTAGACAATATTCAATATCCATTCATAGTAAAAACAGTCAATAAACTTGGAGTATACAGGAACTTTCTTAACATAATATAAAGCATGTATGAAAACCCCACAGCTAACATACTTAATGATAAAAGACTGAAAGCTTTCTAAGATTAGGAACAAGACAAGAATTTCTACTCATCACTTCTTCAACATTGTTCTGAACATTCTAGTCAGAGAAATTATTTAAGAAAGAGAAATAGAGGCATTCTAATCTGGATGGATCAGAAAGGAAGAAATAAAATTATTTCTATTCACAGATGGTATTGTCTTATGTAAGTAACTTGCCAACAAATACCAAAGAAAATGATTGAAATAAATAACTTCAGCAAAGTTGAAGAATACAAGATTAATATACAAAAATCAACTGTATTTCTGTGTAGTAATAGTGAGGAATCCAAAAATGAAAATAAGAAATTTCATTTACAATACCATTAAAGAACAAGATACTTAAATTTAACAAAAGAATTGCAATACTTGCACACAAAAAACTGTAAAGCAGTGTTGAAAGACATTAAAGACCTAAGTAAATGGACAGATAACCCATCTATATGGGTTGGATTACTGAATAGTGTCAGGATGGCAATATTCCCCAAAGTGACCTACAGATGCAATGTAATCTTTATCAAATCCCAGCTGTCTTTCTTTTTATGTAGAAATTGACAAGTTGTTTGTAAATTCCATATGAAAATGCAAGGGACCCAGAATAGCCAAAACCATCTTGAAAAAGAATAGAGTTTTGAAAGTTCCTAATTTCAAAATGTATTAAAAAGTTACAGTAATCAAGACAGTGTGTTAGTTGCATAAGGATAGACTTATACATTAATGTAATAGAATTGGGAGTCCATAAATAAACTTAACATTTATGGTAATTGATTTTTCATATGGATGTCAATATGATTCAATGGGAAAGAAGAGTATTTTCAAAAAATGTTTCTGGGACATATGGATATCCACAAGCAAAAGAATGAAGTTGGACCCCTATCACATTATCATATAGAAAAATTAACTCAAAATGGATCATAGACAAATGTAAGACAAAAAATTACAAAACGTTTCAAAGGAAACATAAGAGTAAATTTTTTCATGCTTTTGATTAGGCAGTGGTTTATTACCTATGACACCAAAGTATGAACAATGAGAAAAAATTGATAAATGGACTTTATGAAAATTAAAAATATTTTTGCTTCAAATGACACCATCAAGAAAGTGAAAAGACAAGTCACAGAATGGGATAAATGTTTGCAAATTATATATCTGATAGAAGATTTGTATCCAGAATACATAAGAACTCTTATAACTCAACAATAAAGAAAACCAAATTTTTTAAATAGGCAAAAATCTGAATAGACGTTTCCCCAAAGAGGAAATACAAATGGTCAATAAATAAATGAAAAGATGCTTGACATCATTAGTCATCAGGGAAATGCATATCAAAACCCTATGAGATACCACTTCACATCCATTAGGATGACTGTAATGTTTTAAAGGAAAGCAACAGGTGTTAATGAGAATATGGAGAAATTGGAGCCCTCATACACTGCTGATGAGACTGTAAAATGATGCAACTATTTCTTTTAATAGTTGAATGTTTCCTTAGAATGTTAAACATAGAGTCGCCGTATATCCTTGCAGTTCCAACACTAGCTATATTCCCAAGAGAACTGAAAACATATGTCCACACAAATCTTGTACAGGAGTGTTCATATTAATAGCAGCCTTAGTTATGGCAGCCAAAAGGTGGAGACAACCCAAATGCCCATTAAGTGATGAATAAATAAATAAAATGTACTACGTTTATGTGATGGAGTATTATATTCCATAAGTGAAATGAAGTACTGATACATGCTACGACATGGATGCACCTTGAAAACATTATGCCAAGTGAAGGCGCCAGGGACAAAAGGCCACATATCACATGATTTCATTTGTATGGAATGTTCAAAATAGGCAACATCATAGAGCAAAATTGTGGTTGCCAGGGATTGAGGGGAGGGTGAATGGGGAGCAAGTAACTGCTAATGAGTATGGGGTTTCTCTTTGGAGTGATGAAAATGTTGTGCAATTAGATAGTGGTAATGGCTGTACAACTTCGTGAATAAGTTAAAAACCACCAAGTAGCACATTTTAAATGGGTGAATGTCATGTTATTTAAATTGCAATTTTTAAAAATGTATCTGGATTTTGTTTTGTTTCCTGGGAGCCTTGCCCATTGGATACCCACTGGGAAAATTATTTAACTTCTGCCTAGAGAACAGAGTTAGAATAATAGAACAAATATTATAAGAAGGAAGATTTATGTCAGTATCATTCAATCACTCAAAAACATATTTAATGATTTTCTCCTGCTAGACACCAGGAATGTCGTTTGAGTAAGACAGAAATGGATCCTGCCTTAAGTGTCATACAGTCTAATTGGAGAACTTCCTACAGTTAGAGTCGTCCAATAATGAAATGATATCCCTCCAGAGTTATTAAGATGACCTTGCAACACTGAGGTGTTCAAGAATAAGCCAGATAATCACCTGTTGGGTTGTTGTAGATAGAAGTCCTGGGAAGTTCCATGTCTTCTAAGGCCTGAAATTAGACCTGAAATTCTGATCCACTTGAAAGGCCTCAGTAATGTGTCAGTAGTTAGTAGTTTGATTTTAGTGTTAAAGAAAGTTAAGGAATGCTTCTGGATTTTGGTCCTATTTTTAAAAATACTTAGTTGGAGTCATTGACAAAACAATGCATATGGTCTCTACTGCAATTATAACTACCTAACTTTTCCTTTCTTGCATACTCTCTGTTTGTGCCCAGACTGCTCAGTATATGTCCAGGTTTCATTTTTTTTCTGCCTATATGACTTGCCTGCTGTTTAAAATTCCTTGCAGTAGTCATGATACAATAGAAAGAATGGTCAGGGTTCAAGGATGTCTTCCAAAAGACGTGGGACGCTCAGGATGTTTTTTGAATAGGCTTAGAGTCCAACTGAACTCCAGAGTGGCACAGAACACATGCCAGAAAATGCTTCCCTTCATATCTCAGGAAGGCCCTTCCAGCACCATGTTCCGAGATGGCTGCCTTCTGCACCTAAGAGTTGTCTGAACTCGAAAGAATCTCTTAACCTCTCTAAGCTTCAGTTTTATGTCCATAAAATGGAGATAATAGAGATCTGGCTTACCTCACAACTTTGGTGGGAGAATCAACTAAATAATGTATTTGAAAATGTTTTATAAGCTATAAAACACTACAGAAACACAAGAGTATCTTTCTTTCAAATTCATATCATAAACTTTTTTAGAACAGGAAGGTTTGTTAAGAATATTCAAGAGAATGTAAACAACAGATGTATGTGCATGTTTATACCAATAAGAGAAGTGGGCAGAATTTCTTTCTCCCACACCAAGGGAATTTCCTGATTATTCTTTGGGCTTGGGTTTAATGAATATTATATACTTTGTACGTACCAGTGACGTTTTATAACTTCGAGATGCCTTTGATTAATTAACAAGTGAAGTGAATAAAGTGAAACGGGGAAGGCCCTCTGGGCTATTTAATTGCTGAAGGATAGAGAGCACACATAGAGCTTGTGTTTCTCATGTGTTGTTCTCATAGATGGATCCAGCGATTTTTGTACATGGGAAATAGAATGGTAATGGGAGGTTTGGGGGTAAAGATTCTATAAAGGTATGTGATAAAATGGAAAGAATGTGATTTGGAGCCAGAAGACCCAAATGTGGTCCTGATTATGCCATTCACTGGCTGAGTTATTTGGGACAAGCCATAACCCTATGAGAATCAGATTCCTCCTCTGTAAAATGGGGTTTTTGTAAAAAAATCAGACTTCTCCTCTGTAAAATGTTTTTTTTTTACAATAGCCATTGTAAGGCTATTGTAAAAGAAAATGGGAAAATTATTTGTAATTCTAAATTGCTATAGAAATATTAACCATATGGCTTTGATAAGATATTTGAATCACATCTGAATTGATGAACAAGAAACCACTGGAAAATTCTGATTATATATGTCTCCACCAACTTCTTGACCTTATTTTTTAGCATTAAAAACACATAAAAATATAATACAGCAAAAGCACATAAAATATATAATATACCATGTACAAAAATAACTATTATGTGGAATTCAATATCATTTAGTTTAAGGTGGATGTTATAGAAATCTATGTCTTTATATTATTGACCCCTTACAGTACGGGGTGCATAGACGTCTGTTAAGAATGATTCTACTATGAAACAGACATAAAGGAACATTCTTAAAAGCCTGTAATTTCTAAATAAAAGTCAGTGAACCTCTTTCTTTTTTTCTTTTTTTAATTTATTTATATATATATATATATTTTTATTATACTTTAAGTTCTAGGGTACTCTGCCGTTAAGACCCTATATCTATAGACAAAACAAATCCTAACTGGCAGCGTATAAAGTACTCTTTAATTCACACAATGTGTTATATTTCTGGAAAAGATAGTCTCAGGAGCAGTTTAATCTGACACGTGTACCCATAAAAATGGAATTAAACTCAGCCAGGTGCGGTGACTCACGGCCTGTAATCCCAGCACTTTGGGAGGCCAAGGCGGGCCAATCACGAGGTCAGGAGATTGAGACCATCCTGGCCAACATAGTGAAACCCCGTCTCTACTAAAAATACAAAAATTAGCTCGGCGTGGTGGCGCATGCCTGTAATCCCAGCTACACAGGAGGCTCAAACAGGAGAATCGCTTGAACTTGGGAGGCGGATGTTGCAGTGAGCCAAGATCGTGCCACTGCACTCCAGCCTGGCAGTAGAGCGAGACTCTGTCTAAAAAAAACAGGAATTGAACTCAAACTTTTCAAGTTTCTGAAAAGGAACTGATTGCCCAGCTTTTTATAGAATGAATCACAAACCTCATTTTTACCTATAAATAATATTGCTTTATTTTATATAATAATCACTGGAATTTTTAGAAAGTGTTAGGAAGGAGTTGTTATAATAATCAGTTATATATAACTGAATTTAATGATTCAGCCTCATGCTAAACTATATATAATTCTTAATTTCAAAAAACTTTTTAGTATAATAAACATGAAGGTAAAAGCCTGCCTTTGTAAGTTTCTAAATGTGAATCCAATAATGTATTTTTTTTCTTGCGGTGAATTTCAAGATCGTTTGTTGGCCTTCTGCTATGCAAGGGGTTGGAATTCATTTTCTCTGCAATGATGATGAGCACAAAACATATAGAGAAGCCATCTTGTTCAAGTGAAAGCTGGCATGGTAAAATGGGAATGGTTTATTAAGAACTAGTATAAGTGGTTGATTGGATAAGAACTTAGAAAACAAAACAAATAAATAAGGCTCTAAAACATTTGAAAGTCTCAGTGGCAACTTAGGAAAATAGATATGACTCAGATTATAATTTAAATAGTGCCTATGCATTTGGATCACTAAAGTTATATGGTCAACTAGGGAGAAAACCTAAAGATATCAATAGGTCAGATGAATCTCTTAAAGGATGACTTATTAGAATCCTTTCTACAGTCTTATTAGGCCCTAAATGTGGAGGTGACACATGATCCTTAGGCATGAATCCAGAAAACATACCACGTAGTCCCAAAATGAGGGTTATTGCAACGCAATTCCCAAAGTTTATTGATGCAAGAGAGTTGTTTTGTAATAACCTGGACAAATCCCTTTAGAAGATGGGTTTCTTTATGTCCAGGCCAAATTTAGCTTTGTGTTTTCATGGCCATGTTTATATATATATTCTTATATTTGGAAACACTATATTTATAGACTCTTCTAGAAATCTCCACTTATCCAAATGACATATTTTTGCTCATCTATTCTTTTTTACAGCAGCCCTATAATTCCTTAACTTTCACTTCTATGAACTCTTTCTAGTATAATTATAATTGTTTAGTAGTGACTGAGGTGTTCATCTCTTTTCTTCCTTGGGAAATGGAACAAAGATGAAGGTGTTATTTATTATTATTATTCTCTGTATGATAGATTATTAAAATGACTACAAATTCCTTGCGTCTGCCTCCACACTCTTATTAGGTGATGTTGCAGATCTTTCCTTCAAGAGGGTTGGTCTATATCCCCTTCCTTTAAAGAATAGGCTGGTCATGTGACTTACTTTGGCCAATGGGACATTAGCAAACAATGCAAACAAAGGCTTGAAAAGCACTTGTGCATTGGGGTTCGCTTTCTTATTGGGCTTGGAATTCTGAGACAGGCCACTGAGTGGACAACATGGGCTAACTACTGAAAGATGGAAGAAAACTGGGGTCTTGTCTACCAGCCAGCCAGCCATCAAGTTGGGTGAGGCCATGCAAGATCATGCTGTCACCATCAAATACACTAGCTTACCACAGATGCAAGAGAATGTTCAGAAAAGATCAGATAAACTTGCCCAGGCCAAAACAACTATCCAATTGACTCACAGAATCATAAGCCAGATCATGAGGATTAAAGAAAGTTCCCACGCTGTATTACTTATCTATTGCTGTGTAATAAATCACCCTCAAACTTAACAGCTTAAAGTAACAAACATTTATTATCACATATCCTATATTCTATAGACTATATATCTATAGGATATTTTATATCTTATCTCCTCTATTCTATAGGTAGGAATCCAGGCATAGCTTATCTGGATGTCTCTGGCTCAAGGTCTCTCATAAAGCTGAAGTCAAGGTGTTGGCTGAAGCTGCCGTCATCTCAGAACTTGACTAGGAAAGGATCCAGTTCCAAACTCACTCACATGACTTTGGTGAACTTCAGGTCCTCTCTGACTGGGCTGGAGATATCAGTTCCTTGCCACATCCCCTCCTTGCCTTGGCCTCCTGCCATTGAGCTGCTTATATCATGGCAACTTGCTTCCCCCAGAGAGAAAGATCCAAGCAAGAGCAAGTGAAAGAAGCCCTGAAGGCAGAAGCCACAGTCTTTTTATAACCCAATCTTGGAAGTGATATTTCATCACATCTGCCAAATTTATTTGCTAGAAGCAAGTTACTAATGCAGCCCTTATTCAAGGGAAGGAATTATCCAAGGGCATCCTAACAGGAGCAGGTATCACTGAGAGTCATTTTTAAGTCTGCTTCTTAGAAAAATAAAATTTCTGGTTTTTGTATAGCCATAGTGACAGGTAGCCACCATACCAATTTTAAACACATTAAATAGATCAACTGTAATGTGTCTCAGTGAACATGCTTTTGCAAGCCCAACCAGTCAATATTAACCCCTCATTTCTGTAAATCCATCAGTCAGGAATGTATTCACCAGAAGAAGCACATCTCTGAGTATGCCAACCAATCAACTAAAGTCTCACCCAAGTAACTGTGGTTCAACAAGTGATGTCAACTCACTTGATGACAATGAGTTTCAGATAATGACCCTGAAAATCCACCAATCTCTGAACTCCATGTATCCCCCAAACATTCTATGAGGTCAGCAGTCTGCTCAGCTAGGAGAGATGGCTTGATCAGCACTGTCCTTCCCTACCATGTCAGCGATAAGTTGAGCCTTGTGTTTTTTGTTTGTTTCACATATTGATAATGGTCTATCACCTTCTAACAGTTCAATAGATGTTGTTTTTAGCCACTAAGTTTTGGTAGCAAGCTGTTAGGCAGCAAAAGTTAACTGATATACTGGCAAATAGCAGATCCTTCAGAAGTCATTCTGTTTTTCATCCTCAAAAGAATGGAAGCTCAGCTCATTTGGCATGGAAATTGGGAAATATAGATTGTCAGCCATTAATGGGAATAATGGCTTATAAAAGTGGGTAAGAGTTAAAGTTATTATTGTCCTGAATTCAGATTAATTTGTGATTCAAGACATTCTGTCACTCCTTTTAAAACCTAATTATAGATGTCTTAAGTGTTTCTGGAAAAATCTGTTAAATTCCTTCAGTGGACTTGACTTTTCCTCTTAAAATACTAAAGATGTTGGTGCTGACATTGTGAAGGCACATACTCTCACGTAACTGCAAAATAATTTCTGAGAAGCTGGTATCTGTAAGGTAACTTTTAAAGGCTCTGATTTATTTCTGTGGTTAAGAAAAGAGGAATTATTAAGAAATTGTTGGAAATGTGCCGTGGCTAGGTTTTTCCTCCTCATATTTGTAGGCTTTCATGTGAAGCTCCCTTAGCTCAGCATTGGTCAAAACATGTTTGTTCCATAGTATCTTGTGCTAATTTTCTAGAAGAACAGTACATTAAAAAAAAAAAAAAAAAAAAAACAAACCTGGAGGTTTGTCACATACTGGTCAACAACCAGATGATCGGTAATCCCTACGAAAGAAGAATGTGGCAAGAAATAATCTAAAACATAAATTATTATTTCCCAAACCAATTACATTTAAAGCATTTTAACTTAAAGCACATCTCAGTGTATATAAAGAACTGGTGTTGAAAGGCTGTAATTGGAGATAAAATCAAGGTCGAATCTAAAATACTGTAATAAAGAATTCCAAGTACAAGTTGAGAGTACAGGGAGTTTTTGAGATAGTTTAAATACAGCAATGACATAATCAGAGCCATGTTTTAGGAATATAAATTTGGTATATGTGTAGGGTAAACAGTAGTGGGGAGAAAATAGATGGAAGCAGACTAGTTAGGAACCATCACAGCCCAGGTCATGGGCATTAGTGCTCCTCTACCATCCACACACCAACCACCTTAGAAGACACCTAACAGTTGTACACCAGTCTCTTATCTATAAAACAAAGTGAGGTTAAGCTACATGATCCTTAAGGTCCTTTGTAAAACATAAAAACAAAAACAAAACTCCTTAACTTTCTGGGGTCTTA
Source organism: Homo sapiens (assembly GCF_000001405.40). Taxonomy (NCBI): domain Eukaryota; kingdom Metazoa; phylum Chordata; class Mammalia; order Primates; family Hominidae; genus Homo; species Homo sapiens. The sequence continues at coordinate 46,700,060 of NC_000012.12, forward strand.
GGAAGCAACATTAAAGCCATGGAAGAGTTTGGGCTATTAAAAGAGCAAAAACCAACCTTGGTTGAGTGTTGGTCAAAGATAAGCCTCCTTTGCTTACTTCAACCACATCCCAAAGCAGAAATCCCACTTACACAATAGTTGACAGATGGTCTTGAGTCTCTGCTTCAATACCTCCAGTAATATAGAACTCACTCTTATGAAAGAGATCACTTCATTTCTGGGCAGCTCCAACTGTGTTTTCATGTCCTTTGCTACTGAGGTAAAATCTGTTTGTTCTTATTAGTTCTGCTCTCTGGCATTACACAGAAGTCCACTTTTGCTTTTGTGTGACCACTAAACTTGAGCCCATCCCTCTAAACTAAACACTCTAAAGTATTTTTAACTGTTTTTAGAGGATGTGATTTTTGGACTTTTCACCATCTCAAACACCCAGAAGGAAAGTGTCACAGCTTATGTGAATCCCCAAATGCTGCTGTGACAGTTCCCGGCTCCTTCTCAATCCACCCTTGCCCTGGCTGTCAGAATGAGAACACAGCTCATACACTCTCCCTCCAAGATTAAAACTCATGGTTCTCTAGTGTGTGGGCTCCAAGGATGAGGTTTGTGGAATGACTCCAGAGTGATCTGTGGATTAATAAACTGACTGGGACTGAACATCCCTCATTCCCAGTGGGAGGGGCTGTACCTGAGCCCAATTTGCCAAATAAATGGTGACCTCTTGATTGGTGGCTTCTTTCCCACAGCTCAAGGGGCTGTGAATTCCCATGGGCCCTCAAAGTCCGCCAGACCAGGTCAGATGGCACTTCTCGCCACTCCCCTAATCAGCAAGCACTTAAGTTCAGCCTGCTTAACACCTGAGTCTGAAGATTCTTGCTCTCCCAAATAATCCACTTTCAAGTTTATACCATAAGGTTTGATAGCAGGAGTTCAGGGTCCTTTCCCCGCAATGCAAATTCACTGTGTGTCTGGCTACACTGCCCTGGGTTCCAACTCCTGAGCCTCAGGGGTTCTGAAAACACACAGGTCTCCAAACCTCTTCTTTCTGATCCTTGGGTTACATATTTCCCCAATAAATCTTGTACCATCTGCCTACTCTGAAGTTGTGAAATTCATAGTCATCCATTCTACCAAAGAGTTATAGTACATGCACATATACATACACACAGAATTTACACAAATGTACACATTGTTTCCCTCTTAATTTCTTCCTTTTGCTGGGAGATTAGGTCTGGTGTTCACATTGAATGTATTATTGCTTCTGTAAGCCATGTGGATTGAATTTCTCTCATAATGGATTTTCTGAAAGCAAAAGTATTAATTCCAATTACCTGTTTATTTCTCAAGTGGCAATACCTGCTCTTAACCCAAAGGGCATAATGTTACTGCACAAATATGCCTATCAGCTGAAGATAATATCTCAGGGGAGGTTGCTCAGGAAGTTTCCAGGCCTCCAGATAAGCTCCTTATTTGGGAGGATCCTCCAGACAGCCAGCCTCTGGAGTGCAACCAAGCAGGGATCAGGGGCTAGGGTTTGTTTACACAGATCTCTAATCCCTGAGCCCAGGGTCTCTGGTAGTTTCTTTGTGAAAGCAAGGTTTTTAGTTCACAAACTTGAACCATTGTTACTCAAGCTTGTCTTTGGTCACTCAGTCATCTTTCCACCCAGCATTATATAAATGCTCCTCCAATCATCTGCAAGCAGGAAGGGGTAATGTTAGCTATTGGCTGGGAGTTCCAGATGGTCACTGGGGCAAACTGGAGACCTTTATGGAGTTGAGGAGACTCTTATGGAGTTGAAGGGGCTTGCAGGTATGATTTAAAGAGCAGGAAGTCTAAGGGAGGAGTTCACACCTGTTCTTTATCTTTTGCTAAGAAACCTCCATATTATGGCCATCAGGTAAAGAGGCAGGCCATTTCTCAGATTAGAAAGAACCATTTTCCATAGTAAAGGCAGACCCAATTTCCTCTGAATGGTATGCACTCATAGCATGCCTTCTGGCCATGAGACTTCATGATGAATATTTCAGCCTGCTCATAAGAGCTGGGGAGGATCTATTGGGTATTAATATTTACTATGTACCAGGCACAGTTCTAATTGTTTACAGATTTTAACCCTTTTAATCCACAGGAGAGGAATCTGGCAGAGATATTCTTATTAACCCCATTTGATAAATAAAGAAACTAAGGCACAGGGAGTTAGTAGCCTGCTCTGTGTTTCACGGTGAAAAAGTGTGGCAGAGGCAGGATTTGGACCCAAACAGTCTGGCTCCAAAGTCCAGGCTTCACGGGGGCACATACTGCCCTTCCAGACATCTCTGTCCCCTCAGGGTGACCCCCAACTTATCCTTCCAAGTCCGTCTCCCTACTCCTCTGTAGTAAAACTGGAGTATTCACTCTTTTCTGAACAAAATCTGTTTTCCCCACCTGTGTGTCCTCTCATGCCCATCTCCACACCCCATTCCCACCTGTAAATCTCTCATCAGTTTTGGGGAG